>NC_000008.11:4594276-4896561 GCF_000001405.40 Homo sapiens
CACTGCAACCTCTGACTCCTGGGTTAAAGCGATTCTCCTGTCTTAGCCTCTTGAGTAGCTGGGAATACAGGCGCCAGCATGCCTGGCTAATTTTTGTATTATTAGTAGAGACAGGATTTCACCATGTTGGCCAGGCTGGTCTCAAACTCCTGAACTCAAGTAATCCACGCATCTCAGCCTCCCAAAGTGCTGGGCTTAAAAGTGTGAGCCACCACACCCACCCTGAAATGATCTGTTTCTAAATAAGGTCACATTCTGAGTTATTGGGATTTAGGAATTTGATGTGTGCGTTTTTTTGGAGGGGGGCACAACTTAACCCATAACAGGAAACAAGAAGCAAATATGTATTTGAACCTGGTCTTTCAACTTCAAAACCTACATTTTACTCTGCTGCCCATGTGTTGCCTTTGTAATCAAAACTAAAACCTTTCCATTTAACATTTGAAATTGTTACCTGCCTGTTCACATGGCTATCTTTCCTCCCCAGGCTCTAAGCTATTTTAGGGCAGACATATCATCATATTTCTGATGTTACCCCCACCTTAATAGATAAGTGTCTAGGACACAATTCCTTAGTAAATCTTCATCATGCTGAAGAGAAATGACTCTGTAAAAGGAATGTGGATGGTTATAGTGGTTTAAATATTGAGACTACATATTATAATTCAGTAGTTGAATGTTTTTCATACTTGATGCCAAAGAAATGAGATAAAACTAATAAATTTTGGGATCTGGAATATACTGGATTCCTTGTTGTATGTCACTAACAAACCTTAGAGGTGTAAACATAGGTGTGCCTTTTTTTATAACTTTAATAGGGATGGAATTTTAAAAGCTTGGGGAATTTGGAATTCTGAGCATCCTCATTTAGTTTTTCACAGTGAAAGAGTGTTACTAATTAATTGCAGAAACATCCTAAAATGTAGACACGTAGGAACAGAACTCAAATTGGCTTGAGTTGGCTATAACTCTGTAATTCTGAGACAGGAAGGTATAATATGATAAATAAAAAGGAAAGAGTAGATAAAGGGTGATTTCTAAGGCAAAGGATAATCATGTCGATTCAACAATTTATCTGTTTATTCATTTGTCTATTGATGCATTCATTTTCATTCCATCCATCCAAATAATGCTATACATTGTCAATATG
Source organism: Homo sapiens (assembly GCF_000001405.40). Taxonomy (NCBI): domain Eukaryota; kingdom Metazoa; phylum Chordata; class Mammalia; order Primates; family Hominidae; genus Homo; species Homo sapiens. Next base: position 4,595,427 of record NC_000008.11, read on the forward strand.
CTAACAACAATGGAAAGGCCTGGTAAGACTGTTCTGGTTCTGTGGCTTCCTTTGGAGTCCTCTCAAATGGTGGCAATTGTTTTTGCTTCATGCTAATGTCTACTGTAGACTAGCTCTGGTGGCACAGAAACCATACATTCTCAGTGTTGCTTCCTAAACAATGTCCCTTTCCTTACTTAAGTATAACCAGTGAAGCTGGGTACTGCGATGCATGTCTGTAGTCCCAGCTACTGGGGAGGCTGAGGCTGGAGGATCCCTTGAACTCAGGAGTTGGAGGCCAGCCTAGGCAACATAGGTAGACTTTGTTTCTAAAAAACAAAGCAAAACAAATGCCATTCTTATCTCATTTCTCCATCACAGAACATTTCAGCACCTTTTTCTCTCTTTCAGAGCTCCTGTTTTCCTTCCTGGACACTGACACGTCTACATGGATCTTCCATTCCTTCTTTGCATGGAATGATCTTGCATGCAGCCATCCACTCTTAAGGCCTGACTGTAAATCTTGCTCTTACTAAACTATATGAACTGTACCACTTGTACAGCCTCAAATCCAGAGATCCCACATCTCCCCATAACCAGATCCACCACTTGAACACTCCCTGTTTGCCACACTGCCCACAGCATGGCCCAACCTTGCTCCTTTCTCTCAAGGGCCAACTTCCCTGTGTGTTACTGCAATTGTAATAATGAATGTAGTTCCAGTATCTAAAAAACTTGCTTCAGGAATACATAAGTCTGGAATAATATATACCCACTGACATCAAGTAAGTTTGGTTTTGGTAGGAGAACTTGATAGGTTAAAAAAAATCATAGGACAGTATATTAACTATTGTTAAGTAAAAGCGGGAAGCACAAGGGAGAGATGCTTAACCCAAGCTTCAAGATTAGATTTAGAGAAGGTTCAAAAACGAAACCTCCTCTCTAAGGGTCTCAGGGAGACTTTCTGGAAAAATGATTTCTAGACTGAATCGTCAAAGACAATTTTCTATTCATTTCTAAACAAATATAGCAATTTTGATCATTATGCAAATAATTTTCATCATAGACATAATACTTAAAATTTTATGTATAACACACAAGACTCTGTTCCTTAACAGTATTTTCTCACCAAGCTATAAGCTTTTCTAAAAAAAAAATAATTAATAATTAAATCTCTGAAGTGCATATATTCTTCCTAAATCAATGCAACATTGTCTTTGTTAACTTTGTTGTTGTTATTTCCTTTTAATAGTACGTTTGCTGTTTGAACACTCGGTCTAACTTCAGTTCATTCAAAAACAGTTCATTTTGAAAGGAACAATAAGGAACAAACGAAATACACACATGATATGGATTGGCTGTATCCCCACCAAATCTCAACTTGAATTCTATCTACCAGAATACCCACATATTGTGGGAGGGACCCAGGGGGAGGTAATTGAATCATGGGGGCTGATCTTTCCCATGCTATTCTTCTGATAGCGAATAAGTCTCACAAGATCTGATGGGTTTATCAGGGGTTTCCGCTTTTGTTTCTTCCTCATTTTCTCTTGCCACCTCCATGTTAGAAGTGCCTCTTTCCTCCCGCCATGATTCTGAGGCCTCCCAGCCATGTAGAACTGTAAGATCAATTCAACCTATTTTTCTTCCCTGCCTTGGGTATGTCTTTTTCAGCAGCATGAAAACAGACTAATACAACACACAATTTTTTTTTTTCTAGCATTTGCAGCTAACAAAAGCAGTTTCCTCTCCTCAGTCAAAACTTTGAAATAATAAACTTGTGATGCTGATTGAATGAAATAATAAAGTGTGTAATTTCTAATAACAATAGTGGTGATATATTATCCCATGCCTTTGATTTCTAATTTGAGAAATAGATATCAATGTATTAACTTATAAGATCCTTAAAATAACCCTTTCAAATAAGCAGGAGAGATGGCACTCTCATTTCACAGACCTAAAGTAGTGTGAGGTATGTTGACCTGACCAAGGTTAAATATCCATCCCCAAATGTAAATTCACCCCTGGTCCTCTTGTAAACGAATGCTTTGAATTGAGTTTCATCTAAATTTTATTACTTGTATTTTTAAAAATATACTTGACCAGTTACTCTATATCTTTCTATTTTGCCCATTTGAAATAAAACTTATTTCCCAAAACAATGCAACAAAAAAAGAAATAAAACACAGAAATGAAAATGGAATATTTAAGACCAAAATTATGTACTTGAGACATCTGTAGCATACTATAACACAATCAGAAAAAAAATGTTAAAGGATATTATTAACTCCTTTGGACCATCATGTTATATCACATGAAAAACTGTAGTTTAGCTTTTCTTCTACTTCAGTTTAAAAAGTAATGGGATGACTTTCATAGGCCAGTCACTGTGCTTGCCACAAGAGCTAGAAAGATGAGCCTGCTTGTCCCCCAAACTCACAGAAGCTTCTGATGCAGTGAGAGAGACACAGATTAATTAGGTAAGATTTGGAGAATATGGTGGGTACTAAAATTATGGCTGCTCTTATAATAAACATCATTGTCATCTCTAATTATTTTAAAATATATGTGATTTATTTTTATATAAATTATATATAAAATAGATATAAGGTTCTTTAGAACATTTATCAATATTCACAATTGCATGTCTTTAATTAGATGCAAAAATCACAGAAAATAAAAAGCTAGAATAAATGCTTCCTCAAACTTCCCCTGTATCTCTTTACAAATCCCACTCCAATAAAAAGTCAAGTTAGATAAATAAAGCTTTTGTAAAACGGAATTATCATAGTTGTAGGGATGAATATTTACATGCCTGAGAGCTCTCCAATCTAATTTATGCCACACTCACCTTGCTCAAACACAATGATGATTTGGATTTGCTATTTGAATTACGAATACTATGCTGAATTCCTAGCAGTCTAAACAGCTGAAAATGGTGTTGGAGGTTAGGGGCTGGTGCCTAGATATTAGCTCTAACAGGTGGATGCAGCTCTGTCATATAAGGTCATGGAAATCACTGCTATCAGCCAGGCATGAAATCTGAGTTATTTTATTAGTGATGGTGGCTGATGGATGACCACAGAATACCAAACTCCAGCTACAGGTGTGGCTGCTTAGTTACAATGTATCTGCCAAAAGATGCAAGGAAAACTCCACATTGGTTCAAGATTATAAAAAATCCACTTTAGATACATTTGTTTCTATATTAAATCAACTCAATAAAAATTAACTATGCTAGGAATCTAGACACCTAATTTCCTCTGAAATATTTACACTCGTTGACAATAAGCATTAATTAGTGCCAGTGTGGGTACTGGTACTCAGTTTATGTTTATTGAAGCAAAATAAAGCTCTAAGTAGGTGGAAAATTTTTTTCAATCACAGAAATAGGTTGAGTATTAAATAGAACAAATTGTATTGTCCAAGCTTATGAAAATAAGGAAGAACTACTTTTACTTTTGTAGAAGAAAAAAAGAATGACTTTTTTCCTAGAGTCAGTGAAGATCTTCAAAAAAACAATAATTTCAGTTGTTTCTAAATCAAATGTTAAACCAATTGTTAGTCTTCCAAGAAAGTTACGTGTACCAGAAAAATTATAAAATGGTTTAAAAATGTATTAAACTCTTTACTTATTTCTAAAGAATCCACGTAACATGAACTAACTCTACACAAAGACAATGTTAGGATTAAGTAAAAAGTGTTAGAACGTGCCTTCCAGACTAAGGTATTAAAAAATCCAACGTACTGTATCTGTAGGGAGAACTTAAAACTTAAAACAATAAGAATGACAACAAAAAGCACAATGATTCAGATAGGACAAAATGAGATTAAATAATTCTACCCCATGTGTCCAAGCAAGGAGATAAACTGTATACTGTGGTGGATCATGTGGCTTCATTACTGTGTAGTCAACTAGACAGACTTAACCCCAGAATAGCATGGTCACCCTGGAAGAATTTTTTTTTTTTCCTTAAAGATCTGTTGAGAATGCAAGGAGGAAAATTTTTGATAATCCTAAATTGGAGTAAATTGTACCTAATTAAGAGAAGACAGAGTGGAAGCTCAAATTTGAGTGGAACTTCTAAATTATATAAACCATCAGTTTTTTTTTTTACACTAAGTGCACAATATATAAAATTACAAAAAAAAATCTCATTGATAAGTTACGTCAACGAATATAAATGTATACTGTACTTTACCACACTTCTGTCCATCTCATTTAATTATTTTAGACATTTGGTTATTTGTAGGAATGACATGCAAACTATTTCACCATCAGCATGGCCCAGGTGATAGCCAGTCATAGCAACCACTAACCAGCTTTCTTTAATTCCAAACAATGGTAACAATAATTCTCACAGTTCACACAGTGGATACTGTAAGCCAAGTATATTTCCTAGTGTTTATCACAATAATGCTCCTACATATGCAAATGATCTCCAACTTAGAGACAATTAAAGTTACATTCAAAGAGTTTTTTGTAAACTGCTCAAAGTAGCATAATTCATAAGCTGAACCCAGGTATGCATGGATCTGACACGCATATGCTCTGTCCATCCACCTCCATGGAGGTGTTCACTGTGATAACTAGAAATGAAAGTCTAGGGTTGGTTACCGCAGAACAGATCAGTAGGTACCCACCAATGGCTTGTCCTTCCCTTTTATACTGTGGAGTTAGGACTAGAGGGTGGCAGTCTAGGTCGGGCTGACGTTCTCAGCACTTATTGCCTAGCTGGGGCCATGTAGCTGAGCTGTGGTCGCAGAACAGGAGTGCAAATGTCAAATACATTTCCATATCTGGCCATGGACCCTCCTCACGTGATACTCTACTCTCTCTCTCTCCCACTCTGACACTGGATTTGACTTCCAGGTTGACCTTAGGTACTCTATGTAGCAAATATAGAGATGGGTAGAAATGGAAAGTTAGTCATAGCTATAGACTTAATAAACGGTGAAGTTTAAAGATATAGCTATTAAGACCAATATGAAAGCATAGCTACAGATGGATATGTTCCTTATTTCAGAAATAAATTCAAGTGATCATCAATGCCTTTTCTTGAAGTCTGTTTACAGATATAATAGGCTAAATAAATATATACATCTGTTTTTGTATGAAAATTATAAATGAACACAGTTGATTATAACTATTTCCTGATGTGCTCTCCATCCTAAAGAAAACATTTATTCAAATTCAACATCAAACCTTATTTGTGAAATTAAATATCACAGATTACCACCAATGTTTAGATAAGAAATTGACAAAATTATTTCACAAAAATAGGGGAATGGCATTCTTTTCTACTCACAGAAAGACAGAGGGTGTAAACTCATCTGCTCTTTATGGGAACTAAGGCGTGAGGATAAATTGTTAGTAACTTCAGACGTAAGAAATCAATCTCTCAATCTTGACAAACTTACATATCTAAAGAAGATATTCTGACTTTAAAAGGTTTGCTTATCGCCACATTTATACAGACTGTTGAGGAAGCTAAGAAAAATATTAAAGTAATGTAAAAATGCCTTCCAAAAAATTTCCCTCTTAATTAGATTTTTTTTTTTTTTTTTGAGATGAAGTTTTGCTCTCGTCACCCAGGCTGGAGTGCAACGGTGCCATCTCGGCTCACTGCAACCTCCGTCTCCCAGGTTCAAGCGATTCTCCTGCCTCAGCCTCCCAAGTAGCTGGGATTACAGGCATGCGCCACCACGCCTGCTAATTTTGTATTTTTAGTAGTGATAGGGTTTCTCCATGTTGGTCAGGCTGGTCTCGAACTCCTAACCTCAGATGATCCCCCACACTTTGGCCGCCCAAAGTGCCGGGATTACAGGCGTGAGCCACCGCACCTGGCCAGATTTTTTTTAAAAAGCATGAGAATAAGACAGGGAGTAGAGTGACAGCGAAGCAAAAGTTTGGAAGTCCCCTTGGAGACAGAGGTGGAGCTGTACCAGGGCCTCTCTGAAGTGTCTGTTATCATGGCATTTGCATAACTTGCATTAGGATAGTTCTTCACAGCCTCAGACCCACTTCTACAGGGATCATCTCATCTGTTCCTGAATGTTAAGTTGGTAGGACAGGTGTGATATTACAGAATAGACAAGGAGGGACAGAGATCATAAAGGAACTTCTATGGTCATACAGATGATAAAAGGTAGTATTAAGAATTGAATACTTTAGTAGTAAGAGTTCAGTACTTTCCTGCCAGCCTTCAACATTTACAGATTACAAAGTATGGCGGATGTCTCATTTTTGCAATTATTTCTCCATACCCCTCATCATGCAATGAGGGGATCGTGATCTCCACTCACGGCATTATGACTTACAGTGCTTCCCTGTAGCTGGAGAAAAATATATTTGCCCCATTAACTTTGACCAAATGAAAAGTGAGTAAACTTGATTTATCCATGTCTGAGCATGTCTGAGGTTAGCGTGCATCTTTCACCCTGGGTTCTGAGTCAGAAGCACTGTGGAGCAGGGCACAGCCTGGAACCGTCTACATAGAGTGTGAACAAGAAGGAATTCCTTGTGAAGCTTATACACAGGTGCTGGAGGAACCTCCTCAGAGCCAGCAACTGTACTCTCTGAAAGCTTTTATCTTTACCTTCCAAATGACATTTGCTAGCAGGCATTCCCCAAGAAGAATGAATATAGAAATAGATAAAGGATGTATTAGCAAAGTTACCAATTGCCTTTATTGAGATAAGAGCCTCAGGAAAATCTTTCTGCTCCCCCAGTTCCCTAAGGTGAACTGGCTTAATGTAAAAAATTAATTCCCTTATTTCATGTCTTGAGGCATTGCCTTTCCACCCTATGTCATTGAAAATTGATGTTGTTGGGAGTTATTTTAGAAGAGAAAATCTCTTACTAAAAAAGAGGAAGAAAGGGGCCCTGCACAAATAAGGCACTTCAGAGGTCCGAAGCCAAACCAAATAGCAGATAAGGAAGCTGAAACAGAAGCTTCTACTGCCAGGAGAGATCCACTATTAATTTGCTGGTCCAAGATACGGAACACAGGAACATGTTGTTGAAATATTTATAAGGAGGACAGCTGAAACCTTATTTAATATGGCCAGAGCTGTCCAGCACATCTCAGGTACGCATACAATAAAACCGTAAATATATTAGGAACATATTGGTCATTATAGTCATTGAGACAAGATGTAAAACTCTTTAACGTGCCTACAAGTAAAGAAATATTCTATAAAATTCAAAGAAGTTTGAAGGCGTATTTTCTTATCATGTTAGGGCAAGTGGCAAATACTTCTTGGCTTGAAATGACTTAATTGTCTTAAGATCTTCATTGTTGTTATCTACAAGGAAGCCACCAGCATCTACAGATAACTACTGCAGAAAAATCTATAATAAGCATTGTCTAAATGATGCCTTACAATGACTGGATTTTTTAGAAAGGTAAGCTGACTTTATCCTGTATTAATAAACAATAAAAAGAAATCTTTTATTATAATTATATAAATAATAACGCTATCATATAATGATATGATCTAGGTTAAAATAGATTATTATGTATGAATGTAACTATAAAAATAGATAAAAAAGAAGATATTCAGACTATTTGTAATTTAGTAAAGACTGAACTATTTTTAATAATAAAATATTGATTCTCCAACTGAAATTCTAAAAATGAACTAAAAGTATAATTTGAATTCTAAATATCTAATAAGGGAATAAAAATTATATGATGAGAATAGTTTTGGCTTGAATTTTTTATGGAGACATAGCTATATTAATTACTTTAAGAAAATATCAGTTCTAATTATGTGCTTAAAAATACTGACTGCACACCAAAGCAATAGAAGAAAATTCTCTTTTCTTGAACCATGACCTGCTGCAAATTTTTCATACTCCTTTAATTTTTTTTACATTTCAATCAATTCCTTTTTTGTATTCAACTCTATTTTATTAAGAATTCAATATATCATTTTAATTTAAACTCATATCAAAACATTATATATTAAACCCACTTAAAAATGTGGTGAACCTCCATTATTTGGAATTTTAAAACTCCATTCAGAATGTACAGGAGTTAGCAAGTTTGATCCTAACAAATGTTCCATAAATAATAAAGGTAAGTATTAATCCTATTTAAAAGATAAGCAGTGGGTAAAATAAAAGGAAAGAAAACCAGAACAAATATTAAGTGACCTCATGATTTCATTTAGCTAGCTTTGCAAAATAGTGCGAAAACATGAAAATAAAATGAATATAATCACCTCATTCAAAAGTACCTTAAAATGACGTGGGTTTCTGTCACATTAAAAACAGTGATTTTCTTTCACTTCTAAATGTTGGCTTGTATGCTAATGAAAAAATATTGTTAGACAATTTAGGATGATTTTGGTGTACCGGAGAAGTTGGAATGAAACACAATAATTTCCAATGTTTGAGAAAGCAGCACACATTTTAAATATTGAAGAATGATTTTTAATTTTAATGATTTAATTTTAATTTTAATGATTTTAATTTTATAAGTATTACTCTGGGGGATTTGGGATATGATTGTATTTGTAAATGATCACTAATGTACATCTATATACATTTCTAAATTACAAATTGACATGTTATAATCTATTCACTATAAAAAGAATTTTATATAGAAACTGGAAAGATATGTATCAGTTTATTGACAGTTGTTAACTTACTCATCAACTTAGTTGTTATCATAGACAGATAAACAATTTTTTATTCTTTTTCTTTCCACTTATGTCTGTATTCCAAATCTGGTTTTACAGTGGTAACTCTATTCCAAAGTCCTCACATAATCGGAAAGTTAGCAACAAGTACTCTACCCCTAAGCCTTTTAACTTTGATTGACTACTACCTTTTTCATAAATAGTACAAATAAAGGTACAATAGATATAAGACATTGGTGTCTATATAACAGGAATATGCATTAAATGGTTATATATACAATATATATATAATATATTATTCTAGTCTTTACTCTTGACAAATAGCATTGTGTGTGTGTGTGTGTGTGTGTGTGTGTGCGCGTGCGTAAAGACTAGGATCTCCAGGAAGGAAGGATCATCAACAAGTTCATGAATTTGTCCCGCTTCATTTCTTCTCGTGGTCATTAGCTTCTGACTTGATTATGATCAAAATAGCTATCAATAAATGAACGCTTTTATTTTTTTCTAAATCTCTAATTTGTCAACAGAATACCTAGCTTAAAAATGTTAAAAAGTGAAACTAAAGTTAAATCTCTGCAAATGAAATGGAATCAGAACATCACCAATCTGTTTATCCTCTTTCCAAACTATGTCTCCTACTTGGGAATGATGATGATACATGGGCTTAATGGTAACATTTATGCACAAAATATTGTTTGCAGTTAATTTTGTAAAATTTGAATATAGATCTACTTCTTCCTCAATATTTAGTTGTACCTCCTTTTTTCAGCCAAGGATCTGTCAGTATAGTACTCTGATAGCAAAAGGTAATTATTGAAGATTTACTTTGACTCTGACGGTGTTCGGGGTTCAGAATCATGCTTGCGCATGTCAGATTCTTTGCCAGAGATGTAATTTGTTCTTGTGGGTCTATGCCAGATACGAGTAAGGCTTCCTGTGGTGCTGTCCAGAACATTAAAGCAACAACCCCCATGATATCTGTGGCTGGCCACCAAAGTCCTATCTAACTCCTGCTAAGCTAATGTGGAACTTAAAATTAACCTGTACCAAAGTATTTTAAAAATCACTGAAATTAGTATTATGTCACCGTGTTCACAATTCTCAAAAAAGACAGAACAACTTCAAATATAACTTGAAATTAAGACAGCAACCATGGACACGTTAACTTTACAAATAAGGCAAATACTAACGTTAGACCGATGAAGTTTACCTTTAAGAAAAAAAGAAGAAGAAGAAGAAGAAGAAATTTTCACAGGGTGGGTTCTCTTGAAGCAATGAACCCAAAATGAATTATCTATGAGCAAAGAGAGGTTGAGTCCTGTAAACCTAATTTTATAGATAAAGAATTGGAGGACCACTCTGAACATAGAATGAGACTATAATGGTCCCCAGAATTATCCTGATTATGATGATTCATCTTACCTTTATGCCCGACTGCCAATTTACCTAATTGACCAGGAAACAGAGTTAACAGAAAAATTACAATTACGCAAATGATAATTATCTTTTCTCTAAAGACTTTGGGAGGCAAAATCATGAATAGTCAATAAAATCTAACCATGACCTTTCCTAGTATCTTCCTTTTTTAAAATTATCTTCCTTATAATGCTTTAACATATACTTATACTTCTGTCCCTTGTAGAATGCATAAAAAGAATGGTTGTCTCATATCCACGATCTGTGACTTGTAAATCTGGGAATCAATTTACGCTGCCATTGCAAGCTCACCGGTCCAATGCTCTCAAACACTGGCAGGTGAAACTTGATGGTGGACAAGGGTTCGTGTTCTAATTGCCGTGTCAAATTCCAGCCAAATGAGGCTGGAGTAGAGACATTTGGAATGTTCCCGAGATCAATGCTGGGAGATGGAAACATTTTTATGACGAGGATGTGTCTAAGCTAGACCAGAGCAGAGCCAATGGACAAAGCCAGGCCTTATGAAATATGGAGCCCAGACACCAAGCTGACAGGAATGGTTGGAGTCTATTTCTATTTTGGAAGCCTGAGAAGGATGCGGTGGTGGGAGGCTATATCTCACGTTCAAAATTGATCGAGCTGAAATGACTTGCAGGATTAATTCACACTAATACTGAGCTTCTAAACCGCAGGACACATAACTGTCACTGGGCACTGCACTCCACTCAGCACGCCTTGCAGGTCTAAGAGTTGGAAGGAGAAAATATGCTTCAGTTAGAAATAAAACCTAATAAATTAACCTAAGACAAGGGACTGTGACTTAGAGTCTGTTTATAAATGATTTCTTTGTGGACTGGGAAGAAAACAGTCAAGGAAACAGGGAGAGAAAAAAAAAAAAGAGTTCTTTCTGTGCCAGAGGTGAGGCTTCTTGCTTGTTCCTGGCTCCCTGGGCTCACAGTGCTGCTAGTGGCTGTTCTTCCTGCTGTGATTACAACATCATCCGATGCCAAGCCCTTTACCACTCTTGGTTCTGTGTGTGGCTGAAGACAACAGCGGCCAATGGCAGCAGGGCTGTCAGCTGCTGAAACACAGCACTGTTCTCTCAAGGACCAGGTAATGAGGGAGAACCACTTGAAATTAGCAAAACGGAGACAAATATGGGCTTAAGATTGCAGTCAACCATGATGTGTTCTATTCACTTGGATGACTTCTGTACATAATATTGTATTATTGATCTATCCTCCAGTTTGATAAAGACCTTTTTCTAATAAAGACCTTTTATGAAGGGATAGTAAATTTTCAAATTGACATAAAGGGGAGTATCATTTCTCCCCAAATAGAAAACTAATTTTATAAATCCAGAAATAATATGACATTTTAATTAAAGTGAAATCACAAAAATAACTCAAACCGTGAACTTTCTCCCCATTATATCAGTATAGCTTTATTTCATTGTACATGAGTAGATATAATTCATCCTTTTCTTTTGGAAATTGCTAAGATGCAAGTTAAATTTTTTCATGTGGCACCATATTTCAGGAAATCCAGTGGTAAAGTTTGAAAATCGATCATTTGCTCTTCAACCATATTATTTTTATTCATTCATATGTTTATTCATTTACTCAAGTAATATTTATTGTGTTTGGAGCACTTTTTTTTACCTGGGAAAGACAGTTAATTTTAAAGCACGATCCTTGTACTCAAGGAACTAATTGATAGTGTCGGCAGGAGTGGGAGAGGTAGACAATGGGCAAATAAACAGGTAATTATAAGATAATTCTGCTAGTGATAAGTAGAAAATATGGAAAAAATAAATAACAAAAAAAAATGCATTTGAACGTATCAGAATGTTAAGGGTTAGGGAGTGCGGGGGACGGGCTATTGATTCTGAGACAGGAATAATACGGAGTAGTTGCTGGAGAATAGAAAATTGCAGGCAACAACTTCACGTGACTAAGCAAAAGGAAACTGTTGAAACAGTTGTGAAGCTAGGGCCTGATACGACCCAGAAAACCCAGGGTGTGTGCCAAGCTGGCTAAGACAAACTGGATTCAACATGGTGCTGAATTTGACCTAGGTTTCAACAAGGACCTCATTAAATGCTCATTAGCATCCTAAACTCCATGTCCGCCAACATCATGAGAGTTCTGGCGCCAGCCATTTTTTGGTGTAAAAATGGATGGCACTACACTTCCAAAAAATTTCCACCTTTTTTCCAGCAATCTTCGTGAGTATTCCACCCCTTGGTTAAAGAAAACAGTAAACGTAGCAGCCTCAAACCGCTTGAGAGTGACTCTCTCTTGAGTAAATCCTCACTCCCTTTCTTGAGTGTGTACTTTTCCCTTTGCAATAAATCTCTGTACTTTCACTATTTTCTGAATCTTCCTCACTATTTTCTGACTCTTCCTTGAATTCCTTCTTACTGTGGTGTCAAGAGCTTGGACACTGGCTAGTGTTGAGGTCTCACTGACATCTGGCGACTTTCCCCAGCCCACCTGTATCAATGTTATTATATACAGTGGTCAGAGAAGGCATCAGGGATAATGTGAGGGTGTGTCCTTGCCCAGAAAAGGGTGTTCCAGGTGAAGGCCCTGGGAGGAGATGGTGCTTGGTGTATTCGAAACCAACAACAAGGTGACCAGTGTCCCTGGTGTGAAGACAGGAAGAGGGAGGCATTAGAGGGGACCCTAGGAGTCTTTTCAGGGCAAAGTAAAGAGTTTGACTTCTACTCCAAAGGGGTGGAAATCCATGGAAGCATTTTGAGCTGGAGATTTATGACTTGATTTCAGTGGTAAAAGTCTGCACCGTGGGCTAAGGAGGCCCAAGGGCAAAGTGGGGAGATGGGTGAGGAGGCAACTACCCTGACCCAGGTAGCCACGGTGGTGGCTGACCGGAACATGGTGGAGTGGCAGAGGGCTCGACAAAAGGATGCTTTCTCAATCTATCTTGAAAGTGGACTTGACATGATTTGCCAGTGGATTGAACGTGGAGGAGGAGAGACAGAGTGTCAAGAAACTGATGTATTATTTGGAGTGTTTAAATGTGGAATCTCCATAAGAGACGCCAGTACTGTCATTAACAATTATTCTGCTCCATCGTCAAGATAAGGGATGCGATGGCAAAGTTATACTACAAATGCGTCATTTTCGCTAGCAATGCCCGCCATACATTTTTAATCACCGTTTATTAAGCAATGTCCTAAAGTCCTCTTTGTGGGATTATGAAAATTATCCTTCAGGCATTTCAGAAGTGAAGTCTGTGACGATGTGTTTTCTTTTATGAGTTCATATGTTCAGGAGGCTGGAAAATACCTAGCTGAATGTGTGATACACATGATAAGCATGCTAAGGCATATGGGCAGAAGAAGAGATTGCTTTCTATAGAACAGGGAACTAGAAAACATTTGTTTGTTCTTTTAAAATTAACATTTAAAAATGGATCCAAAGTTAAGCCCTGTAAACCTTGTTTGATTAACTCTGGAACACAATGTTATACTTTTTCCTGCTGAGGTGCTCAAAGGAATGTGGCATACTTGAATGTAGAAAAAAAAAAAAAAAACATGAAATCTGAGGAGTTGGGCTGAAACTTGAAATCCTCCACTTTCAGGTTACTGAGTTTTAGTTTTCTCATCCTCAAGATGAAATACTCGCCAGATGCGCTGGCTCATGCATGTAATCCCAGCACTTTGGGAGGCTGAGGTGGGCAGACTGCTTCAACTCTGGTGTTCCAGACCAGCCTGGACAAGATGGTGAAACCCTGTATCTACAAAAAAATGAAAAACTTAGCTGGGCATGCTGGTGTGTGCCTTTGGTCCCAGCTACTCAGGAGGCTGAGGTGGGAGGATTGCTGGAGCCTGGGAGGCAGAGGTTGTAGTGAGCCGAGACTGCGTGACTGCACTCCAGCCTGGGTGACAGGGTGAGACCCTGTCTCAGAAAAACAAAAGAGATGAAAGCTGATGATCTAAAGCCTCATTCCTAGCTGGGGTATTTTGTTATGTTAATTAATTGATTAATATATGAATTCAATAACTCACTAATTAGCTATTAAACAACACTATGCTTTCTTTATTGTACTAAACACTTTATGTACAAAAGTGAGCAGAATAAACAGCCACTGCCATCACAGAGTATGATCTTATTAGCAAAATGGCATATTTTTGACATCCCATTCTTAATAGGCCAGTGACTTCCAAAGATTTTACGCTGCAGATTGTACAGGAAACATTGCCAATTTTAGAGCAATTTAAACAAGAAAACAGAAAAAAGTCAAAGAAGAAAGAAGCAGGGATGAAGTACTGAAACAGGAACAAACAAACAAATCCAGATTATGGTGAGAATATACGATAAAACCAAGCATCAAATGCCCTGAGCTTTCTGATAGCTCTGGTAAAAATTTAAGAGAGATGGGATGCAGGATATTTTCAAAAAGAAGGATCCCCTTTACAAGGAAATTATCAGGTAAGTATTCCTATGCTGGCTATTAAACTACCTAATTGGTAATTCCTTCAATAGCTTACTAAACCTATGGGAATGACCATTGCTTTGTGTCAGGGTTCAGGAAAAAAAAAAAACAATTAGATATCATTTCATCCAAATTCTTGCTATAAGGATGCTCCCCTACCTCTATTTCTCTCCTTTTCAGGGAAAGGGTGTCATTTAAAGACTAATAGGTTATGAACACCTTTTCTTCCCCTGCTTTCTTCTACTTCATTTAAAACTAGGATGTAAACAAGACTTGGGGATACAGATGCAAGAAAGAGAGACTAAATCCTTCATAGAGATCAAGTGGGAAGTTCGTGAAACTGACTATTGGATCCATGAAATTGAGCAATATCCCTCTAGTATTAAATTCAACATATCAAGCACTATTGTAAGCATGTGAGTCACATCAATCATTTAATCTTTCTAATGACACCATGCAGAAAGTTTCAAATATATGTTCTTTTTATGGTTAAGGATTTATTTCCAAAGGGGTCAGGTGTCTTCTTCAGGGACAGGCTCCAGAACCCAAGCTGAGACTCCATAAACACCACTCTTTCTATGATGCCACCTTTATAAAGAATACCCCAGGAGGTATCATGTTTGCCGTTTTGTCATACATATCCTTCCTCCCTGCTTTGGTAAATATCTGATGGCTGAGTTACATGTCAGTACACTTAGAAATACCTGATTATAAATAGTTGATTTAATTCATCCCATGAATTAGTTTGTTATTCTTTCAAAAAGTAGGTTTTATGGTTGTAACAGCTTTGCAAATGGTTCTTCATGACTACACTGCCAATTATATGTTACTTAATCTAATAACATGGTTGATATTGCCTTTCACAAGAGTTCAGGATGGCATGCATGCCTGTGAGTATAAACAACTGCATGTGTGGCGAAAACCTTATACGATTTCGTTTTTGAATCATTTTAATGACATTTAATTGTCCATGAGGAGTTATAATGACATAACTATGTTGGAAATCACATTCGATAAAATTGTAGTTTTAAAACTTAGTATCTGCATCCTTTCCTTGGAAAATAGCAGCCCTTTTTCCCTTAGAAATGTAACTACCATTTTTTTTTCTTTTTGGTCTATTTACAAAAACTTAAGAAAAGTGAAAGAAGACCATAGAGAATTGCCTACTGCACTCTTCTCCACAGAGATAATGGCTGTTACTGTTTAGTAATATGTTCTTCTAGACCTCTCTATATGGGTTTATAGATACATCTGGGCGAGTGTATACACAGTTTTTAAATATAAAGGAAATCTTACAATGGGTACTATTCGTCAATTTACTCTTCACTTAATCCTGTGTTGTGAAAACCTTTTCATACCAATAAATATGAAAGTTTGTATTATTCCCTCTTTGAAGACTACACAAAGCTCACTTCATGGTTATCCGATGCTGGGTCTAACTCAGCTCCCCACTGGCTATCTGGTTAGTTCTTGATTGTTTAATGTTTTAAACTCCACTGCCATAAACATTTCTCAGTGTGTACCATTTCCTGATTGTATAGTTTTCTTCAAATTGCCTAGATATAAAACTTGTGGATAAAACTATCGCAATTTATTAAGACCCGTATATGTATTGCCAAATTGCCTTCCCAGAAGTGTTTACACTTCCCCTCACCTCACCAGAAGATGAAACTCTCTTTCTCTTTAACCTCCTATAAATGTAAGTCATTTTGTTAAGAGAAAAAGTGTGTCTTGTGTTCATTTACTGTGTGTTTTCATCATGACTAAAGATGTTGTATTTTCAATATTATTTATAATTATATATTCTCATTTGTGAGTCATCTATTCAAAATGTAGCAAAATTACTCAGTGTTCCTCTCCTGCTTTGTACACATATGCGAATTTAACCTCAGCTTAAAATGGTAATTCCTCACCAGGGTTTGAAGTGCCTGCCACCTTCATAATGCATCTTAAAGGTCAGCTGGCAATCAGTGACAAATTCTACATTCCTGAATAGTTACTTGTGAATTCAGGATTTCATTTAGCTTAATTTGTGTGTTTTTTTCCTCCTAAGTGCTCAGGTCTGAAATAGTCAAATTTTAACCATCTAATTGGAATGAAAAGAAAGCCATGGTTCCCGGCGTGTCCCTAGGAGGTGAGGATAGAAGAGTGCTGGGAAGAGGAGGCACAGACTCTTTTCATGAAGGAATGCATCTCACACTAGGAGCAGAGACCTGATCGGAGACGGTCGGTGGCTTGAACGCTGAGTGCTAAAAAAAACTGGCTGCAGGCACACTGCCTTCATCACCTTTGTTTTCAACACTTCCGTTTCCAGCACATGTGATAAAAATAAATGAAGAGATCCCAAAGCTAAAACTTCAAAAATACCTTGTTTCCTTTTTTGAAGTTCCCCACTTTACTTAGGAGCACTTTCAGAATTGAAAAAAAACAAGAGGAATGGTTTTCCAATCGTACAAGTCTACACTGGAATTCCAAATGATTGTTTTCTTCAGGAAAATAATAGGGAAGATGCCACCTACCTGTGTCCTTCTCAAGAACTCTGAGGTCACATGGAGATGACCACAACAGGCAAATTGTGGCCTCCAATATTTGGTGCATTTTAAGCTTTCTCCACACCGAGGAACTGGAGGAACAGTGGAATGAATGTGTGCCTGGACCTGAGCCATGAACCAGAAACCATGAGGACAAGGGTAAGGCCACTCAGGGGACCCATCAGCCTTCTCCATCTACTCAACTGCCACCCAAACCTCACGCCACATCCCTGCCACTCTCAGGGTATGGAGGCTGGTGGGTGTGTTTGTGTGTGCAAATGTGTGTGTACCTGCAAATCTATGCACACTCAACAAACAGCACCAGTAACACCAGCCTCTGTCTCTTCCTGGCTTTGACAGAATTTAAGAGAGGCTAAACAAGAGCACAAACCTGAGTGAATCAGAGCATACTAGAATACTTTCTTATGCTTTCCTGAACATGATAGGCAGAGATTTTATGTACTAATTATGGGAAGAGCTGATGCTGTGACACAGGGACTAGAGATATAACAGTCCCTGCAAAACTGATCTCATAACATTAGATTCCCAGGAAAATTCAGTGTAAGGGGGCTAGAGGAACTTGTTTTGCATTTGGTGGCTGGTTTTCCCTCACTTTCCTAGGCTTGTCTTATAGCTGAATGCACACACACACAGGTACACAATTCTAAACACGAGCTGATTGCTCTTCCCATAAGAGAACAAGAACAATTCTAATTCATTTAAATAATGTCCAGTTGGTAAGAGAGAAAACAATTTGTTGAGTGTGTACAAATTGTTGTTTGTATTTAAATGACAGAGTGATGAGCCAAGGCACGCCATCCATGCTCCGAGTGCCCATTGCACTAGAGTAGACACCACCGCAGGTGGCCATGTCTACAGGGTTGTCATTCTCACCTCCACACTGGCACACAGAGAAATCCTAAAGAGAAATTAGAGCTTAGGCAAGCTCATGCTACTCATGAACTAGGTTAGTTGCCTCCAGAACCAAGTTTGCTGCACCTGTTCACCATGGCCTGGAAGAGCATACTTACACTACTAGTGTGGCAGGCTCTCATCAGAGACCGCAACTGTAAGCCCAGCACTTTCACACACAATGACTACAGTTAAGTGATGGCTGAGCAGGTGCTTGGACTTTTTTCACCCTCTTTTTGCTAAGTGACTTGAGCGAGGTTTGCCTGACAACCCTTAATGAATTATATGCAAAAAATGTCAATTTTCCATCAAATGGCAGTAGTAAATCATTCAGAAGTGAAAAAAATAGAAGACTGAATTCTAATTTGGATCTTTAACAAACTCTTTCTCTCACTGCTAACATCAAGACCACCCAGGGACTGGGATTCACATGGGAAATGGTTCAATGATGGTGTTATTTTTGAAAGCAGAAGGCTGTCTAATGCCAAAAAAAAAAAAAAAAGAAAACGTTCCTCAATCACTCCATCTTCTGTACTTGAAATTTAGTAGAGATAGAGAAGTTTTCTTTTGTATTGTGAATTTTTATTGTTAGGAATCTTCATGGAAAATAAAGATTTTACATGTCCTAATAAAAATTTTAGGACAAACACCCTGAAATACCACATGCAAAATTATGATAAGCAATATAGAGCCAAGATTTGACAGTTTACTGGCAAGCCAATGTGAGAACGGACAGAGATGCAATAAAAACAATGAACTTTTAAGTTCTGATAATAATAATAATAATAGTTATGCATGAAAGACATTGTTTAGAAAACAAAGGGCATTGGGGGCCAGCAAAGCAAACTGCATATTGAGGAGATGGACCCAAGACTAGTTCAGGCTACACATTTGTGTTTCACACCTAAACGGACTGGACACAAAGGCCAAAACTCTGTAGAAAATCCTGTCTTGAAGGTAGCACTCCCACCATTACCTCCATGGCTTGTCTAGTGATGATGAGGTTGACAGAAAACAGTCCAGATATTAAGGTCAGAAAATCCAGCACCTAAATAAGCCTCTAACCTTTGCTTTTTATTTGGGCCTTAGTAAATTATGTCACCTCTAAACTGATCTCTTTATTTTTAAGATTCATATACTAATAAGAATTATGTAACATAGCACAAGCGGAAGTATCTAGAACTTAGAAACCTAGAACATAGAACACAGGAACAACCAGAGGAAAGTCCGCTGAGTATGACCACACACACACGTACACGTACACACACATACAAACGTGCGCACACACACAAACGCACACACACTGGATGCACGAATGCACACCATTCATGGAACGAACACTTCCTTAAAATATTCAATTACAGTGGAAAGACTGTCACCTGAGATAATAATTTAGACTACAATATGTCTGTAGAATTTAAAATGCATATATTCTTAAAAGATAATCAGACATTATTTTTTTAAAAATGAATAATATGAAAACCTAAAGATATAAAGTATTATTAATATTTTCTCTAGAGTAAAAAATTGTTCACCAATCTCAGATAATTTTCAAATATGTTATGAATTTTCTATGATTTGTCTGAAAAACAGTCGTATTTGTAGTACAAAGTAATTTTCCCTGAAATCAGAATTGGTGGACGCTAATGACTTCACAGTTATTTTCAGATGAGAAAGGCTTCCTATTTGTCTCAGATCTACAAACTGATATAATCTATTAGTACCTCTGTAACTGCATGACACAAAATAAGTGGGGCACAAGAAGAGGAAAAAGCAACTACCCATTTCAAATCTATTATCGCCCTTACACTCTCCATGCAAAGAGAAACAGAAGGAAATACGTGTGTGTACCCATGTGAACACAACACACCTGCATAGAACGTGGAGAGCTTAAGGCACTATGAAATAATCTCTTCACATTGGGTTTACGCAGTATCTTCCCCCAAACCCAGAAAACTCTCAGACACCCATAATATACAGCAATGGTGTTTCTTCTTATCTTAACATATGGAGAAATTGTGAAAGAATAGCTCACTGACTTGTAAAAAGTACAACCGTTATTTAGAAATGCAGACCAATTTCCTCATTGATTAGGTCAAAGTAATTTAATTGCTTACAAATGTCCAAATTCTAATTTTAAAGTAGGAAAAATATTGCATATTTAGCAAATGTGTGAGGGCCAATAGGTTTTCATACTATGAGGATAAACACTTCATTCAAAGCAAAAGAGGCGCTATAGCCAAAAGTCATTCTTAAATAATAAATATATTTTTTTGTGAGTGTAAGGTGTTATTTCCTTATACCATCTTGTGCACATAAACTGTTCTGTTAATTTTTTGAAACTGCCTGTTAGGATCCCCAAATATAAAAATAAAATGGAACTACATTTCAATTAATACTACTTCAATACTTAACACATGACTATTTCCATCTTATTCCTGATAATCTATCAAAACCTTCCTTTTTCTGATATATTATTCTTTCAAAAGCATTCTTTTTTCACTGTTTTGGATGAATTCATAGCCCATAACTATTTGTTTGTACAGTGCCCCTTTCAAAACTTAGATTAAGAATCTAGCCAGAATCTTTTTCAAATTCTTCTGTAAAAAACCACATCACCTTTTCGGTTAGATAATTCTCAAAGCAATTTTCGGATGAAATAAACTTAGTTCTACCCAATAGTCTGGAGTGTTCTTATTTCATAGTGCAACTTGCCTAAGCCCAAACTATTTAGACATCTTCCTATAACATACTCCCTTTGTTGTGATAAAAATAAATGAACAGATCCCATAGCTAAAACTTCAAAAATACCTAGTTTTCTTTTTTGAAGTTCCGCACTTTACTTAGGAGCACTTTGAGAATTGAAAAAAACAAGAGGAATGGTTTACCAATTGTACAAGTCTACACTGGAATTCCAAATGAATGTTTTCTTCAGGAAAATAATAGGGAAGATGCCACCTACCTGAGTCCTTCTCAAGAACTCTGAGGTCACATGGAGATGACCACAACAGGCAAATCGTGGCCTCCAATATTTGGTGCATTTTAAGAACACTGGCTATTTAGTCTGTAAGAGTAAAACTAACTATTTAAAGCTGGTTATAAATTATATCTCCTGCTCACTCTCTCTAAATCACACCAAATACAAAGACTTTCTCATTCTCTCATGCCAGCAATACATCAGTTATAATACTCAGTAAACTTTGGTTAAATACAAAACACTATAGAATAAGATACAGGATCTAGCAACTACTGACAGCTGACATTGGACATGCCAACGCTTGAGAAAGAGCCAACAGTAAACTGACTTTAAAAGCATCTTGACTCATTTGTCACTTATCCAATGGTGATGATCATCATTGTGTATGTTTTCCAGGGATATTGGCATAAATGCATGGCTACCCTTCCTTATTTGTAGAATCCAGAGGAAAAAACTAAAGACAAGAAACTCATTTTGGTCTTCTGGGCTTATTCATTGGTTTTTGCTGTTTAATTTTTAAAATTATAGTTTGTTTTACTCTTGCATTGGATATTAATAATATAACAGACCTACTAATTCTGATTGTATTGTCTTTTATTTATTCCAAGCAGATTTCTTTTTTTTACCTAATAGATTCCTTAATATTCCATAAGTGATTTCTAACATGTTTCTAAAATTTTATTAATTGATGATAGTTTAATCTTATTTTTATAAATAATAGATGTTAAGACTCTATATTTTTTCAAAATGTTTTTGAAACATGTTTTAAAATTCTTATGCCAACTAAGACAAGATGTATTTCTATTATCACTATCTGCTCTTATGCCACTTTGATTTAATCAAATTAGTTTTTGCAACTTTATACAAATAGTGAATAAAGAAAATATAAATAAAATCTTTAAGAGCGATTACTTGCTTCACCTTCTTTTGTTGGATAATGTCTATAAACTGATACAGATATAACCAAAAATATTCAAGTTTAAATTAGAAAACGGAATGTAAACAGAGCTGATTACAACCTCATCTAACACTGGACTCCAATAACCCTGTCATTCCATATTTTAAATATGCAAGGTAGTAGGACTGATATTTTGGTAAGGCAAATGCCTTGCCAGAAACAGAAAGGTAAACATTCTGGTAAATCACCTGTCAACTAGACAATGCTATGAGGTTTCTGTCTGGATTTGGCTTCTGATTCCATCATGGTGGCGCTCTCCTTATCGATCCTGAGCAATATTTTAGAAGCACCTGGTTATAAAGTAAGCTCACTGGAAATACTCTTCCCAGATCTCCATGTGGCTGAAGTCTCATTGTTTAGGTTTCAGATCAAAGCCCTCAGTGAATCTGTTCTTCATCACTCCACTTATTACCTACCCCAACACCTTGTTTAATTTCCTATTTGGCATTCCTCATTATTAGAAAGTGAGTTATTTGCTTGCTCATATGTTAAATTTTTTATCTCCCTCCTCCATGAGTATATTCATTGGAAGAGACCAAGAACACTCACCCTTCTTGCTCTCATTTTACCCCAGAACCTGGACCAATGCCTGGGACCCAGTTCCTATGCAATAACACTTGTTAATTAACTTTTTAAGATGCAATATTTCTTTTTAAAATATTTATGATTTGGAGCTGCCTATTTGGATAAGATTTCTCTTGGCCAGTTTTACTTTAGAGATCACTTAGAATATGCACTATGGTGACAGGTCACTACCACATCATGCTGAATTTTTTGGTACAATCTGCCGAGGTGCCAAATGTCACATGAAAGGTTTCTGTCCTTCAAGAAAACAAAACCAGAACCCAAACCTAGGGACCACCCATAAGATGTGCATGTGACCAACAATTTCCCCCATCTGGAAAGACTCATCCTACCCAACTCAAGCCCAGACCTCATAAATGTGCTTCAATGGCGCCTCTTTTGTAATATTGCTAAGCTCAGCCATGTCCCTCATAAGCAGGAAATCCAGGAAGCCCAGCTTTGCTTGACGAACACACTTTTGCAGGATGTCTGCAATGGAACAGTTTACTTTGCAGAAATATTTCTGAGATTTGAACAGAAGAGCAAAGGTGGGCAGGACTCACGGAGTGCTGTTAGGGACCTAAGGCCTATTTTATATTCTTGGTGGGAAACCAAGAACAAAGCTCAGAGAATAAGTTTTTCTCTAGCTCTGTGTACATATTTATTTCTTGATTCTTCTTATCGCCTACATAGCCTTCTCCTGGATCCAACAAATGAAGGCTTTTGATGTTTTTCTGAGCTTCAGATCTGAAATGAATGCCTTGGGAAACCGTTAAATTATTGACTGGATTTCAATCAAACATCACTCTAGCTAAAATATTAGATCCAAAACGTGATGCATGGACCTTCTGGTTGTTTTCAACACTGAGTAAAAATGTTGCCACCTTTCAGAATCTTGAGGAAGCCCCAAAACATTTCTGACTTCACTGTTCAGAGAAAACATTACAGGATCTTCCATCTTACCTTACTTTTAATGTGTGGTATATGAAATACAAGAGTACACGTAATAGAATAGACAGAGTGGGCTCTAGCCATAAACTCTTCACAAAAGAAACCACAATAACAAATCCATATTTTATTTCTAGTAAACATAACAGAAGCTTCAGTAATACCAGAAGGAGATTAAAATACTGCAATTCTATTTCAAAAATAATTTACCTATTTACTTCTCTGCTCAAGCATTTTTTCCCGGTACGAAAGCCAAACAAATATTAAATAATAAATATCCTGGTTGAATTTCTCTAGTCTTTTGCCCTAGATTTAACTCATGAGAAAGAAATGAACGTTTATCACTTACTTTTAAGGGTGGTGGGCAGAATGTCTACATTTTTTCCCACCACCACCACCCCAAATAGTTTTTGAAAGACTAATTACATGTTGTTATGTTTAAATGCTGTTAAATAAATGCATGTAACAAAATTAAAGCAATATAGCCTTCTCCAAATAAACATAATTTTAATTAACAAAGGGAATGTCAATATTTAGCATCAAGACTGATGTCCAGTTTTGAGTGAGGATTTCTTTTCATGAAATAATTAATTTAGTCCTTCAACTAGCGGTCGTCGTTGTGACAGTAGCTAGTGTAGTAGAAGTAGCAAGAAGAAAAGCCCATTGGACTAGGTAACTGCAAAATGTCACTAACTCTGAGTCCAAACGTTTTGCTAAGCTCTAATGCATCTTGCATTAGTGTTTTGATGATTTGCTCACCAGATACATCCAGTTATATTTTCCACTCTATCCGTCTGTGCACTCTGTACTCTAGCCACATGGGACGTCATATTTTTATTGAAGTGCCAAAGATATGTCACTAAAAAAGACTTTTGAAGCTATTGTTGACCTGATTTAATAGTATGTGTTCTTTGTTTTCTGAAGAGGAAGAACTTGGAAAACCAGGCATGTCCTCACAATTTTGGTATTCATATCACATAGCACATATCAGTTGAAATAATATGTTTTGTTTGGAATTAAATAATTCCATGATAAAATGAAGTCATTTTAGGACAATTACAGCATAAATATTAGTACTGGGCCAATCACAACAAAATATCAAATATTAATAATACATTTATATTTATATGCTGAAGAATTAGCATAGTGTTACATGAGGCATAATTACAAATATGTTCTTAAGCATTGATTTTATATATGCATTTTATAAAATTAGAATAGTATGGTGAATGAAATATTTATTAACACAATAAATACTGCTATAATACTCACATTAATTAATTATTATCAGTTATAGGAGTATACATTTTTCCCTTTTTAAGAGTAGGACTATAAAGATATGTCTCCATTGTGTTTGGTGTTCAGAAAGTAGAAATTTAAGGTAATATGGAGAATTATTTGAAAAATCAAATAGTAAATAAAACTAAATAACAATTGCTCTATCTAAAAGTCTGTTCTCCTGTAAGAAATATACATGTGTATACATATGTATTACACACACATATATATGTATACACATAAAAGCTACTAACATAGACATCAATATTTCCATTTTAAATATAAGGAATTTGAGTTTGAGAAACTTAAATAATTTGACCAGAGTCTAAAATTTGCTAAATAATCATAGATAACGCTTTCTTCTACTTTTATAGCTGAACTATAAAAAAGTTACCCCAAGATGATAAAAGACAAGGAAAACATGTTTCAAGAAATCTAAAGAATAAAAATTGCACAGAGTATATTTTTTAACTGCAGTAGAATTAAACGAGAATCTATAGAAATAAGACTGCTTGAAAAGCCCAAATATATGAAATCATACAACATGCTTCTTAAAATGCATAGGACGAAGATAAAATCATAAGAGAAGTTAGAAAATATTTTAAACTAAATTACTAGTAAATCACTATAAAATGTTTGGCAAATAAATTATTATATGGAGGGAAACATAGCATTAACTACTTATTTATAAAAAAGAGAGAGCCAAATTAGTGACTTTATATTCCACTTAACTTATAAGAAAAAGGAGACTAAACCCAAAATAAATAGAAGAGTGAAAATAAGAGAAAAATTGAGTAAAGTAAAAAAAAATAGGCAACTGGCAAATAATAAATTAAAATGTGGTCTTTAAAAAAATCAAGAAAATTGGCAAACTCTTGGCTAGAAAGATTTTAAAAGGGAATTAATACAAATCAGCAATATCAAAAATGAAAAATCCATTTTTATCATATATTCGTCAGACCTGAAGTGGACTTAGAATAATAACAGCAGCTGAGTATTTCTTATCTGAAATTCTTAGGACCAGACGTATTTCAGATTTGGGATTTCTTTTTTCGAATTTTGGAATATATGCAGACCTATAAATAATGAGAAATCCTGGGGATGAGACCCAACACTAAATACAAAATTCATTTAATTTCATGTACATCTTATATACATAACCTGAAGACAATTTTAAACAATATTTTAAAGTATATATGCAACTCATCAAAGAAGGTCAGGTGTGGAATTTTCCACTTATGATGTCATGTTGGCACGAAACAATTTTGGATTTTGGAACATTTGGGATTTGGAATTTTATAATTAGAGATGCTCAACCTGCATTAATAACTGTACCTACACATTTAAAAAGCAGAGATCAAGTGGATATCTTGAAAAACATAATTCACCAAAATTGACACCAGAAGAAAGAGACAATCTATACAGCCCTAAATCTAGAATATACATTGAATTTTTTATTTAAGATTTCTAAAAGAAAACTCCAGGAGCAGATTTTTCTGTCTTAAATTTTATCTAGAAATCACATCAAAATTACACAGTTTTAGAAACAGAGGAGAAAACAGTTCTGCTCATTTTTTTAATAATTTACCGTCTCCTGTACAGTGAAATCTTAAAAAGGCTACAAAAAAGGGAATTACAGACAAAAGCCCCTCATGTATACAGACACAAATATTTTAAATGAACTACTGTAAGTCAAACCCAATAATATATTTGAAAAATCTAGTGTACCTTACGACCAAGTAGGCTGTACTCTGGAATGAGAAGTTGGATTAAAATTTCACAAAACTAATTCAATGTAATTGAACATATAAACAGAAAAAAAGGCAAAAATACTACCATTTTAATTGATGCCAAAATCATATGAAAAAATTACATACTTATTCATAATAAAACCCTCAGCAAACTACTAATGATAGGAAACTTTCTCAAGCAGATAAAGAACATTTGTGAAAAATCTACAAGCAACATATTAGTGCAGTTCTAGGCAGGAGACAAAATCTCTCATCAGGGAAATTCAGTATGAAGAACGATTAATTTATAGAAGATTAAACGCAAAGAGGGGTAAAGAGAATTAAAAAAAAAAAAAAAGAATGGCAGACATATTGACCTGACATTACCTGGAGGCTCAGGCAGAGTACTCAAAGAAGAAAAAGGCAAAAGAGGATACTTGCCTGGCTGAGATTCAGAGCTGGCTGAGGAGGGAGGATTTAGTGGCCCACCGGGCAGCAAAAATGCATGCTGAGGCTCAACACTCCACACAGTCCAGCACGAGTGCCAGCTAATGTCTGTGGGACCTTCTGGCGAGCTACCCGATGGGGTGACAGCAAAACTATGGAGATGATTGTCACTGGATACCCTGCACAATGCTGACTGGCACATAATCAGAAGCAGAAATTAGTAAGAATGTCTCTTCCTCCTGCTGTGTCCATGCAGCACCCTCTACTGAGAAAGCTTAACATAGTGGCAGCTGGCAAACGCGACATGTGTACAAGGTTTGGTTTCGGAATTACAAAGCAGAGGAAAGAAGAGCAGGTTTGGAAATGAAGGGCAATATGCTAATAACTGGTACAAAAGACATTGTGGATGATGATGACAGAATTCATTACATCCCACCTGTGCCTGTGTTCCTCACTTTTACCACTTCCGTGCAACATTGTACTGAAGGAGCTGGGCATTTCAATACAGCACCCAAAAGAAGAAGGCACAAAAGGGAAAGTTGAGCTGCCTCTCTTTGCAGATGACATGGTTGCCTCCATAAAAATTTCTCATGGAATCTTTAAAACAACTACTAAAATTAATTGAATTTAGGAAGGTCACGGAATACAGATTAATATTTTAAAAATCAGTTAAATTCAAAGTTTTTTATATGTCACATGAAATCAGGAAACACAAAAGAAAAAACATAAATTAGACTTTTTTAAGACTAAAAAATGTTGTTAAATATATACCATTAAAAGGATAAATGTTGGTGGAAGGAATTACCTATAATACATATTTCAGTCAAAGAACTCGAATCTGGAATATTTAGAAAGCTCTGATAACTCAAAGGGAAGACAAAAGTTGCAGTGAAGATGCGCAAAATATTTTAACAGATACTTCACCAAGGAAGATATCTGAATGATCAATAAGCACATAAAATACTAATATTATTGGTCATCAGGGAAATGCAAATTCACATCACCGTAAAATAACACTCTACACTCATTACAATGACGAAAACTAAAAAGGCTGAGTACACTAAATATAGCAAAAACATACAACAACTAAAATTCATCCCTCAGGTGGGAATTTAAAATGGGACTACCAGATTAGAAAACATTTTAGCCACTTCTTCAAAAGTTTAACATAAAACATACTACCCACCCATTCCACTCTTGAATGTTTGACCACAGTAATTAAACTATTTTCCCCACAAAGACTTTTATGCAAATAATCAAAGGAGCTTTATTTCTAATAGCTAAAAACAGGGGGGTGAGGGGGGAACAAATGTCTATTAGAGTGATAAACTAAATGTGGCATAGCTGTATATTGGAATTCTGCTTAACCATAAAAAATGTACCATTTTTATATGAAGAAATGTGGATGGACCTCAAAATCATTATTCTGAGTGAAAGAAGTTAGGCATATACAGATGTGTGTGTGTATATATATATTTCATATAATTTGGCATATATAATATTTCAAAAAAGCAAACTAATTCATAGTGACAGAAAACAGTTCAGTGGTGTGCTGGCAACAAAACTTAGAACACAGGATGGATGACCGGGGTCACAAGAAAAGTTTTGTGGGTGATAGAAATATTCGTTAGCTTGATGGTGGTGGTGTTCCACGGTTGTATATAAATCTCATCCAATTTAAAATTTTCAATATCTGCACTTTATTGGTTACTAAATATACCTTTAAATGTGAATAATTGTAACTAAAGGACTCATTCATCAAGCTAGTATTCAAAATGACTATCTCTAGCTCTTGCGTAAAGAAATCTATTATGTATCCAAGGTAAACTGGGCTCTCTGTATACCAAAATTCTAATTTAGGAAACCAAAATAGCAGGTTTGCAGTAAAACTTGGCAAATCAACTACTGTTCCAAGAATGAGATGACCTCTATTTGTCTAAAGCCCCTGATAACGTGCAAGTACACTTCCGGTAGATCAAACCATACCATTGCAACACAAGCTATAGTAGGGAAAGGGTTAGCTAGTCTATTGCAGAAGAATTCTTCGAGCTCTTGTCAAATCTCTCCATTATCAAAAGAAAGTAACCGAAATCTAGAAAGACTCAACCAGTTTTGGGGTCAACTTCTTTGGATGCCTTTCCCAATCCTCTCTGGAATTACCAGCATATGGCACTGACAAGGCTGCAGTTGTCAATCACCTTCTACATCAGAGGTTGCAAGCGCTGCTACACAGGTGCATTGCCTTTGGCCTGCACTGGAATTTAAACCGGAGGGGATTTCACATATTGAAGATTCTTTGCTGCTGATGAACAATGGAAGATCCACGACATTGGACACGCCTCACATTTTTGCCTGGCAACGGTGGGTCGGTGCCCAGCAGCAGCTGCTCTGTTTACACGGGATATAATTCTCAAGCTCACAAGAATGTATTTTTCTATGATCTGACACCTGCTCTGTTTCGCTGATTCACACTCTCTGCCTGACTCCTGAGGGTATTCAAGTTTGTGACCCTAGTCAAGTCCAGAAAGTGACCCACACAGACCTCAGAGTCCACATCACACCCACCTTAGCCTTTCAAATTACATTCGTTTCCATTCGGGGTGGTGGGCAGAGAAGGCACTGGCATTCTTTTTTAAAATTAAAGTGTGCTCCTGGTAGAGAACAGCAGTTTTCATAACATAACTCTTTGAATGGATGAGTTTATCATCACCTTATTCTTTATTCAGCGTGCTTGCCGCTTATACCATAGAGATCATGAGAAACCGGGAAGAATGACAGTCACATTTTAAAACAAAGTGTTCCTTAATTGGATGGGTCAAACTAGGGTGCCACAGATGACAAGAGAACTATGACATGACCATACCAGGGAAAATACGAGGACGGGAATCTCGTACGGGGAGATACAGAGACCCACAGGCAACCTCGTCTACACAGCACGTTCTCACCTTCCACTGTTTAAGCACAAGTCACCTGCTTGGAACGCCAGTTAATTTTCCTTTACTGGACATAGCTGAAAAGAGTGATGGAAGTTGAGGATGTCTTAAAAAGTCTCAATAGAGGGTCAAGTTTCAGTGCAAAATGTAAATGATCCTTTCAACTTCCCCATGTAAGAAACATGCACTGCATTTTGAAGCAGTCGCCTCTTTGAGAGTGCCTTATTTTAATGAGTCTACATTTATGAGCACAATCATCGTAAATACTCTGAATGAATCCACCTTTGTAAAGCACATATGTTCCACTTCCTCCCTACCTGAACCATCTCTAGTCCAAAGTAGGACTTCCCTGCCTCCCCTGGCTCTCCTGTATACACGAGCAAATACAAAGTCACAACATATCCCGTGCATTTACATTTTAGAAATATTTAATCTAAAAAAAAATGTGAAAACCCCTAAACCTAAGCAAGCAAATATAATGATTATCGTATCCGTAACATATTCAAGACAGGCTTGGTGTATATATATATTTGAGAAAGAGTCTGGTTCTGTCGCCCAGGTTGGAGTGCCGTGGTATGATCTCAGCTCATTCCAATCTCTGCCTCCCAAGTTCAAGCTATTCTCATACCTGAGCCTCCCGAGTAGCAGGGACTACAGGTACACACCCCCACGCCTGGCTAATTGTTGTATTTTTGGTAGAGACGGGGTTTCACCATGTTGGCCAGGCTGGTCTCGAACTCCTGACCTCTAGTGATCTGCCCGCCTTGGTCTCCCAAAGTGCTGGGATTATAGGCATGAGTCACCATGCTTGGCCAACCTTGATATATTTTTGATGGGACTATCACGGACTTGTAAGAACTGACATTACAATTGGAGAAAAACTGCCATGAAAGATTCATGTATAGACCATGAGAAACAGAGACACTATCTCCTTTACAAAGCTATTTTAGGAAGTTTTCAGCAGGCCAAGGTTTTCTTTAGCTCAGTTTTCCTCTTTTGGCTGAGAGGACACAGCCTGCATGAAGCAATCCCTTGTGTTATTTCTGCTTCCTCTCTGATTCTCTCAAATTGAACATACAGCCTGTTCATTGCGGGGGGCTGTGCCTTGAAGCTGGGAGCCAGCCACACCTTTTTTTTTAATGCTACTGATTTCTAAAGGAAAAAGTAACAGATATTGGTTATAAAGTATGTGGAAGGAAGTAGTAGTCCAACAATAGTAGTAACTCTGAACCTTCTGTTTGAGGGTTTAGTGTGAGATGGGTGCAACATTTGAGCTTGGGAAGTTGTGCTGAAAATCACGTTGAGAGAAAGTTATCTGATCTTAAAGCGGTTGTAAGAAGGAGATCAACAAGAGCTAGACTCAGGGCATGGAGCCAAGGAAATCCAGTCAGGGTCAGGACCGCAGGGGGCAGGGTGTGGGAGGGCAGGGCGCCAGCTTGATTCTGAGGAAGAGCTCTGCAGTGGGCTTCACTCCACCTCTTGCAAAGACGTCTCCCCATCCTGACCTACCCTTCAGTTCAAGGATGCCCCAAAGAAAATATATGAAGGCTTTATTCACTTAGATCTGAAAACCTGAAGCCCTGTGCAGAGTTCTGAATTCTGTTCTAGTTAATACTCCAGGTTCTAAGACATAAGCAAGAACGATATAAGCAAGAAGAAAATCAAGTGAAATACTTGCCTTTTCGATTCTTTATTATTTTTAGTACATTCAAATATAAACAAAGTGCATCAGATTTCTCTGCAAAGGGATACGTAAGTAGGTGAGTGTATTTATTGTGGTAAAGCAAGTAATTGCTTCATACTCTAAGTAATATTATATTCCTTTTTTAAATTTTGGGAATTAAAAGTGAATAACTCACATATTTTGTATATAGCATTCATTCCCTTTGAACTTATTCAGTAAACAACTATACATTTCAATATTTCAACTAATATTATGCGATGAAAACTCACTTGTTTATTCTGAATGTTTAGCTACTCTTAGAGGTTGAAAGGATAAATCAGCAACAGACTTTGCTGTCCAGTCACTTGAAATGGGCAGGATGGGGGAAAGAAGAAAAAGTAAATCTTAAACAGAAAAAAGTCACTCAGCTTCAAACTTGATCATCCACATAAAGCTCATTTAAAATCCTGAAAAATCTGGGAAACTATTTATAGCTCTTTATTGCATATTAATATGGATGGTTTCCCACTAAACTATTTCAACAAACTACTTCTGTGGATTTGATACCTGAAGAAAAAAGAATAGAAGTAAATTAACAATTTTACTGATTCTTGACACTTTCTTTTCTCAGAAGGTATTAAATAAAATAACTATTTCATTTCCTTTTGAAAGACAATGTAAAATAATTACTAAAGTGATTTCTTCATGAAATTTGATTATGTCTACTACTGTGGAAAACTCACTTCCTTCCTGACACGATGCCCAACATCACCTCCCATTCCTGGTCACTCCAGCTGCTCCGGGATGCCCCAGCCTCTGCTGGCTGCCTCTGCCCCGCCAAAAAAATAACAGTTGCTCCCCTCAGCCAGTTCCAGCTAACCTCTTTAAGCTTCGGCCTTGAACAGAAAAATAATGTAGGCAGACATATGAATAGTATAGGAATAGTACAGACAATTCTAGATATTGCTATAAATCAAAGGTTTTCACCCTTGGCATTTCTGATACTGTATGGCAGACACTTCTTTGTCATGTGAGATATCCTGTCCACTGCAGGACGATGATCAGCATCTCTAGATTATACCTGTCAGATTCTAAGAGCAACTATCTCCCCACTGTGACAATTAAAAAAAAATGTCTCTAGATACTGCCACTGTTCCCTGGGACAAAAAAATCACCCCCAGTGGAGAAAGGCTGATAGAAGCATATACATACACATATATTATATACCATATATATACTTCTGTGTGTGTGTATATATATATATATATGTACACAGTATCAAATTTCAACTGAATGATTTTTAAAATTTTTCTTGCAGTTCTATGTTAACATTTTCTTGTAGTTCTAAAAGTGCATCTTATAAATGAAGGAAACTAATTCTTGGTCTTTCATACCTCTTGTAAATATTTTAACTTAATTTGTCATTTGCCTTTTGAGTATTAAGTTTTAGGAAGTCCAATTTTTCACTCATATATATATACTTCTATGTATGTGTGTGTGTATATATACACACATATATATACACATATATATACACATATATATACATATATATACACATATACACATATATACACATATACATATATATGTATATGTATATATACACACAGTATCAGTATATACACACACATAAAACTATACAGAGAGAGAAAGAGACATAGGATAAGCATAAACACAGATGTAATTCAGTGTAAGAATTTCAAGGACAGAGAACACACACAGGAAAAAGAAAATGTTAAAAAAAATGCTCTCCTCACACATGCCCTGCCAGGGACACTAAAATGGCCTACTGTTTCTGGATGAAGGCAGTAT
Organism: Homo sapiens; assembly: GCF_000001405.40. Classification (NCBI taxonomy): domain Eukaryota; kingdom Metazoa; phylum Chordata; class Mammalia; order Primates; family Hominidae; genus Homo; species Homo sapiens. The sequence goes on from NC_000008.11 coordinate 4,628,688, forward strand.
TTTTACCTTGGTTAAAATTACACTGACTCATGGGAAGCCATCTAAGAGCCCTCAGGTGAGTTAGATACCCTTGGAGGAGCTTCCCACAGCCTCTACTGAAATCACTACAACCTGTTAAAATTATATCTAGATCAGGAATCTCTGAGCTCCCACCATCATCTAGAAATTCGTTGATGGTGTTTTATTATGAGTTTTTACACGCCTTTTATTAAAAGAGAATAAAACCTTGGAAGAAAATGGACACTCTGATACTGTGTTTATTCTTAAATGAAACATATATGTGAGAGATCTTCTCAGATCCGCAAATAAAATGTCATTGTTTTTAATGGTAATTTGTATTGTAGAGCTAATATAATTTACTTAACTAGTGAGAGTTATTGATAGTCTACATTTATATACTTAGACATGTTTGAATTTTCAAACATTATCAAAATGAAACAAAAAGCATTCCTTTACATTTATTTTGTCATATTTGAATGCATATTTGTAGAATACATTCTTAGCTAGAATTTCTGAATGAAAAGTTTGTACTTTATTTTGAGAAAAATTTCAAAATATCTATACAAAAATGTTGCAGCAATTTAATATCCTACCAATAGACATGAAAACATGTTTTCAATATCCTCAAAAACGCTGTTACTAAAATGTGAAGGTATGCCCATTCAGAATGGCGAGCTATCATACTGCATTGTTTTAACTTGGTTCGAATATACTTACTGGCACAAATGTATTGTATTTGGACTCCTTACGTATATTTTACCTGCTTTTCAATTGAAGGATTATTTAAAATTTTCTTGTAGCTCTAGAAGTGCATCTTACAAATTAAGAGAAACAATTCTTTGTCTTTCATACTTATTAGAAATATTTTAACTTGTCGTTTGCCTTTTGAATGTTAAGTTTTAGGAAGTCCAATTTTTCATTCAGTTTTATATGTGATTTCTAAATTACGTGTCCTGCCTAGAAAGACACTTAGACAATATTTATCATTTTTATTTTCCATATTAATATTTACATTGGTGATCTAACATATTTATTTTGCTACAAACAGCAAAGACTAGATTTACTATTGTATAAAACAGTGTCAACATTCAGATTTTCATGACCAAATCAAGAAGATATCTTTGTCTGCTAATAATAGTGTCATGTTGCAAACTATGTGGCTGTCTGCTTGTTCTTCTGTTCCCTTTGTGTAAATCTGAATGCTTTTCCTTAGGCTTTAACTTTCTAAGAGGAATATCCCAGGAAGCTCCTTCTCTCTAGCCAACCGCAATATTTGAATACTTTTCCACACACCTGTATTTACAAATGCCTAAAATACTTCTCTGCCCATATTAGTATGGTTTTGCTGCTTTTTAAAAAAAGCCAAGATATGGAAGTGAACCATCCGTTTTTAGCTACCGCAAAACACACCACCACAGCATGAGGAGGTAGTTGTCTGAATTCACATGCCTGTCAAAACTTCCTCATAGTATTGCAAACATAATTATTATCTCTCTTACATGTTTTCTTATTTTATCACAGAATTTCTAATTACTAGTCATTTTATCCTTTTTCTTAACAAATAAGCACACAGCAAATACACACACACACACACACACACACACACACACACACACACTCTCACAGTTGTTGTCAACTAAGGCTGCATAATAATATCACTTAGGGAAGGAGAGAATTAGGTATAACCATGATGAGAGCCCAATCTCACCCTTGAATCTCTGAATTAATTGGTCTTCTCCTTCTCTCTAGACAACTGCAAATACTCAAAAACAAAACAAAACAAAAACGAAAAACAAACAAAAAACAAAAACAAAAATACTCAAACTTAACCAGTAATGATTGAGCTTACCTAGGGGTCACTAATTTAAAGCATATGTTGACAAGAGCAATTTGAAAGATACATTGAGGAAAATTACATTTTATTTCATCATCCTAAAATCTGTAGGTAGAATAGTGACAAAATCACCTAATTATGGGAACATTATAGGTTTATCTGAGTGGACCAAACACCTCTGCTGTCCACCTCTGGTGCCCTCACTAAGGTACAATAACCTGTTGAACCAGGTTTCTAAGCATTGATGGGTTTCTGTGATGTGTCATCTGTGCTCCAGTTAAGAAGTCACCTCTGTGTGACAAGCTCTTCCACTGCTACTTCCCTGGAACTATCCAGGCCCTGGTTCTGGGATCCTCCCTCACCCTGTGCTGGTCATATTTGCTGGTCACTGTCCCAGTCCTGACTGCACGGCTGCCCCAGTGCCATCAATAAGAAGTCAAAACATGTGTGGTGTTCATATGAGGCTGGTGTCCCTATAAAAGCTTTGACAGTGGCTTCACCCTCTGATTATCAATCTTAACCAGACATCACTCACTAGCCAAGCTAAAAATAAAATGAAGGCCAGGTGCGGTGGCTCACACCTGTAATCCCAGCACTTTGGGAGGCCGAGGCGGGTGGATCACGAGGTCAGGAGTTCTAGACCAGCCTGGCCAATATGGTGAAACCCTGTCTCTATTAAAAAATACAAAAATTAGCCAGGAGTGGTGGCATGTGCCTGTAGTCCCAGCTACTTGGGAGGCTGAGGCAGGAGAATCGCTGGAACCTGGGAGGCAGAGGTTGCAGTGAGCTGAGATCCTGCCACCACGCTCCAGCCTGGGAGACAGGGCAAGATTCAGTCTCAAGACAATAAAATAAAATAAAATGATACCTTGGTTTGTTTTTTTTTTTTTTTAATCAGTCCATTGATCTGTGAATGGCTCCCTTAGGACCTTGTAGCAACTATGGAGACAGAAAAGCAGAATTTAGGCAATGCTAGGTCTCTAGTCTAATATGATCCTAATGTAATTGAGACCCTTTCTTTAGCCCTCATATGTCTATAAGTTCTAAATATCACCAGATATATTTTATGTTAGGTAGGTTTTGTCATGGTGTGTAACCTAACTATCCACAATAAAACTGTTTTTAAAAATATTTAATGCATTCAAAAGCATTATTACTGTTTAAGAAAACTGGAAAACCTATTCTATTTTAACAACACTTATTCATGATTTTCTGATTTTAATGGCCCTATCACATTCACCTCTAACCTCTTCATTATCAGCATTGCAGAAAATTAGGGGTAATCTTGTTAAAGTTAGAAAGACCGACGAACTCGAGATAAATGCCAAAGCTATTTCCCTAGGCCTTGTATTTTACAATAATCATGAATTAATATATCCTGATTTTCTATATTGAGTGGTAAAATCTCCCTTCATAGATTCGCCTTTATTCACTTTCTGACTTTCTAAGGAGTTTCTCTTAGACCTTTGATATAATAATTTTATCACAGTTGGAAATAGATGTCAACGTCAATTGTTTCTGATTTGGGACAAGTAAATAAAACTTCAAATTTAGAAAACATGTACCAATTATCAGTCACCACATGGGATGGTTGACTCACATTCATTTAGGAGAGAGTTACATTAAGTCACGTTGGGTTCCGTGCACAGTGGCAGGGATGAGTTGCCCTGAATCAGGAATAATGTAATTCAAAATTGCCCCACGAACACTTATTGACGATGTGAAAGTCAACATATCTTCCAGCACTTTGGGAGGCCGAGGTGGGCAGATCACCTGAGGTCAGGAGTTCTAGACCAGCCTGGCCAACATGGTGAAACCCCGTCTCTACTAAAAATAAAAAAATTAGCCAGGTGTGGTGGTGCACCCTGTAATCCCAGTTACTCAGGAGGCTGAGACAGCAGAATTGCTTAAACCGGAGAGGAGGAGATTGCAGTGAGCCAATATAGTACCATTGCACTCCAGCCTGGGTGACAAGAGCAAAACTCCATCATGGGGGTAGGGGGAGCAGGGAAAAACTCAAGACGTTGGTAATCACAGGAGAAGACACATTCAGGGCACATTTCTTAGCCTCAGAGGATTATGTTCTATTAGACATCTGAATGTACAAAGATATACAAGCCCCGAGCCCCATTGCGAGGTAACTTCAGGGCAGGTGTGAGTTCAAAGGAGTACAGGCTTCCAATTGCAGTAGGTGGCCAGTGTTACAGGAGTTCATGCACACAAAGAAAATGTACGTGGGTTGTTGTTTGGAATGCCTAGGGAAGATTTCCTGAAATAAATATAATGTGCACTGCGTTTTGAAAGACGCATACTATTCAGACCGGTAGAGGGAGAGGCCGGGAATAAGAGGACAACATTCTCTTGTAAGGTCAGGTCAAGGAGTAACCCACAGATCTGTGCAACTGAACAAGGATACTTTTCAGGGGACAAACGGGAGGGACTGAAGGACAGAATGCAGTTTGGAGTCCGATCATGGACTTTCTTGAATTTCAGGGTCATGGGTACTAGAACTGTTTATGTTGCCGGAGATAGAAGCCAGGGCTAGGACAGCAGCAGATGTGTCAGTGTTCCCGAGAGGGGAGCCTGGGGCAGGAAAGGATCGTGCATTGGTCTATGTGAACGCTCAGGACAGCCTGTGCCAGGACAGGAGCCTTCGTAGGAACATTTACTATTAGGATCAAAAACAGGCTGTGGTTAATGGAAAGGTGTTTTTTTATGTGTTCGTTTGTTTCTTTGTTTTTTTTTGATGGAGTTTCAGTCTGTCCCCCAGGCTGGAGTGCAGTGGTGCGATCTCGGCTCACTGAAAGCTCCGCCTCCCCAGTTCACACCAGTCTCCTGCCTCACCCTCCCTAGTAGCTGGGACTACAGGCGCCCACCACCACGCCCAGCTAATTTTTTTTTGTATTTTTAGTAGAGATGGGGTTTCACCGTGTTAGCCAGGATGGTCTCGATCTACTGACCTCGTGATCCAACTGCCTCGGCCTCCCAAAGTGCTGGGATTACAGGTAAGAGCCGCCATGCCAGGCCTACTTCCTTTTTCTTTTGTTTTGTTTGAGATGAAGTCTACCTCTGTCACCCAGGCTGGAGTGCAGTGGCATGATCTGCACTCACTGCAACCTCCATTTCCCAGGTTCAAGTGATTCTCCTGCCTCAGCCTCCCGAGTAGCTGGACTTACAGATGCCTGCCACCATGTCCAGCTAATTTTTTTTGTACTTTTAGTGGAGACGGGGTTTCATCATATTGGCCAAGGATGGTCTCAAACTCCTGACCTCAGGTGATCCACCCGCCTTAGCCTCCCAAATTGCTGGGATTACAGGCATGAGCCACCATGCTTAGCCCAAGACATGTTAAAAAATAAGCATTTTGGGATTTGGTGACTGCATGGTTGGACCTTACTGGAGACTGGGAAGCAAGAGGAAATGCAGAGTCAATAAAGTTCAGCTGTTTAAAACAGCAACCACCTGACAGGTCATTAAAAAAAAAAAAAACAATGAAGAGATGCTTTAATTCTAAATAACACAAAGATCAGATTTTTCATTTTGAATTTTGAGTCCAAATTTCTTCCCTGTGCTTACCAAGAGAGGTCTCATTTCAGCTCTCAATATCCACATCATTAAAATTTAGTTTATTGATGGGTGCCCAAATCATATATGTATTGTTGGTGTGTTTGTACTAAAGAAATAATCCAAGATGATAATATAAAGGATATATTAATTTTTTAACTCTAAATGTTTTTACATATGTAAATAATACTATATTTCTGACTAAAGTTCCAGTTACAAGGTAAGCATCAATAATTCTAAAGTATATATTCTGTTTTGTCAGCTGGGGATTAAATCTGCCTCTTAAGTTTATTTCGAAAAAAAATATTACAGTGGTTATGTGAAAGAAATTTATTGATACTAAAAATGCTCAAGTTGTTTAACAGAAAAACTGTTTTGGTATTTCAGTTAATGCACATTTTAAACTTCTAAAAATAGCTTTTGTGCAACAATAAAACAACAACACACCAAGACAGCTCTAAGCAATAACTTTTGTGACATCTCAGTTATCAGCAGCTCCTACATCAATCCTCCCACAAAAGAATCCGTCCTTTGAATTCTAGAGCTGCCTTAAGGGTTGCTACTTAATTGCGTTTGAGAAATAAACAACTGTTTCAAGGCATAATGGGAAACGAATAGCATTAGAGTGCTCCCTTTCCCGATTAATTAGAATTTGCTACTATTTATAACTACTTTCCCCATCAACTCATCCTGAATGTTGAAAGAGAAAACACCTCCTCATGTGTTTTCCCTGACAACACACCCATTCCAATTTCACATCTCTATTTATTTCACCTTTTGTAATAGTAGAGACCTGTAACACTCAGTAGTCATTGGGCGTTTTTCCGATTTGTATTACAGTACTCTAAACGGTTCCCAAAGAAATCACTCTGCACTCCTCGAACGTCTCCTCAAAATGGCATTCTACGTATGCGGATAGGAGGAAGAAATATAAAATGGAATATCAAGATGAAAGCAACATCCTAACTCTAAGGACAATAAACAAGTAGAAATATGACATATTTTTCTCTATTTCAAACAAAAAATTGTCGGTAACTGAGTGATTCATATGAACCTAAGTAGGCTCTTTCTTATCAACCTCCCTTGCTTCCTGTACTAAACATAACCCAGCAAGTAAAAGAAAAAAACATTCTGTTGTACATACAACTCACAATAAAGCTCTCTGAGGCACAGGTATCAATTTATTTACTGTTCACTCAAACTCCAAAATGAAATATGTTTCTAATTGTTCTAACTTAATATTTCCGCTGTCGATCCTGTTATAATATTGAAGATGGTAAGAATGTTGTTTTATATTTATTAATATAAAATGATCATAATAGTACCATAAGACCATAAGAGATAATACATTATTGAAAGACATACCTGTCAGTCAAATTAAGACAGGTTTTCTATATATGAAAGAACTAGAGTAAATAAAAATATTGAGAGAAAGAAAATGGAAACATTTTTAAGAGAGCATATTTTTAACAAGCATTTTTTAATGGAAAGGTAAAGTCATAATTTTAACGTAGAGTCACACACATTGGCATTTGAATAAAATGGATTGTCTAATTCTTTTTTCTGTAACTCTGCAGTTTTTATTACCATTATAATACACTACTATACCCTAGTAGCGTTGATAATTGACAACAAAAAAAGTAACTGGCTTTTAAAGAGCATAAATTATTTAAGAAAGCCTACATCAAATTAGCAAGTATTGTATATGTAGATACTTTGTTCAAATACTAACACATAAGACCATAAATGTAATAAAAGGACAGAGGAAAGCTTACCTGTTTCAGAAAAGAGACGGCCATTCTACTATGTATGAAAGGTAAACATGCTACTAAAAACAGATAATAGATATTGTAGATGACTCAGAAAAAAAACTAGGTGTTTGAAAGTGGGTGAAAAAATGCAAATAAAATATATTTGAAAATATATTAATGAATATATTTTATATTTAACCTATTAGTTATGTAGCATATATTGACATATTATAAACTAGATGTACACATAAAATTGTGTTTTCTGTAGAGATTTTTTTCTCATCCCATAAAATAATAAATGAAGCATATGATTCTTGTGTGTATTACTGTTGGCATTAACATCAGTAATCTATATAAGTTAATTTTGTTAGGAAAATCTGATTTCTTTGGAAGGGATATTCCTTCTTCCTTTGCCAAATTGAAAACAAAAAGTAGATACAGACGTACAGGTATAATTTTTTCTTGTTGACAATTGAAAAAATATAATTTAAAAATGATACCAGGAAATGTTTTGCTTTCTTCATTGTAAAAACTATAGATCAAAAGAGAAAACAAATTACGAATAGATTGTACCATTATTGTCTAAACCACAAATTCTCCAAAGAATGCAATAGCCCTGAATGTTGTTCCCTCACCCACCTCCTATGTTCCTTTCACTGAATATATTCTCTGACAACATAAGGGTTCATTTTGTTCTGATTAGCTGAATTGTACTCAAGAATTTATCTTTGTTCTTTTTCTCTCAAACTCACAGTTGCTTAAAAACAATGGTGTATTATAATTTTATTTAAATTACCTTGACAACTCTGTTTCACAGATCTTGAACAATATATCTATAAACAAAGTCAGTGATAACTTTCAATAAAAAGTTAAATTTTTAAGTATAGAAAAAGTATGCACAATTTGCCACAAGTTGATAGACTTCAAGTTTTCTGTATAGTAACTGTATTTTTCTTTTCTGGTAATGAGGGGTGAAGCCAGCTGGACTTCTTGCATTGAGTGGGGACTTGGAGAACTTTTCTGTCTTACAAGAGGATTGTAAAATGCACCAATCAGCACTCTGTAAAACACACCAATCAGCGCTCTGTAAAATGCACCAATCAGCGCTCTATAAAACACACCAATCAGCAGGATCGTAAAAGTAGCCAATCACACGGAGGACTGAAAAAAGGGCATTCCTATAGGACAGAAATGGAACATGGGAGGGGACAAATAAGGGCACAAAAGCAGCCCAACGGGTTGGTCTCCCTTGCTGTGCTGTGGAAACTTTATTCGCTCTTAGCAATAAACCTTGCTACCACTAACTCTTTGTTTCCCTGCCATCTTTAAGAGCTGGAAAACTCACCCCAAAGGTCTGTGGCTTCATTCTTGAAGTCAGCGAGGCCACGAACCCACCGGAAGGAACCAACTCCGGACACAATAATAAAATTTAAATATTCCAACTAGATTTCATAATCTGTGTATTCAAACAGTGCTAACTGTAATATAAAAAGTTGATACCTTACCTCACTTTTAAATTCCCTTGTTGAGGCTGTCCATCGTAAACTGATAAAATATCAAAATCTTCTTCAAGAGCAAAGGTATGGAAGGACAACTGTATCCTATTGCGCTCGCCCGTGATGATGATCCAGGTGCAGTTGGCATAGTTCGGATACCCGTGAGGAAACCCTGGGCTCTCAATAGTGCCATTGGGACCCTGGACTAAGCCTCCACAGTTCTGACCTGGAAGAGAAAACACACACAAAAAAGCATATTATTCTGGCCATCTTTAATCTGTGATTTAAAAAATTTCTAAACACTTTAGCCAATTTTTTTTTTTTTTTTTTTTTTTTTTTTTTTTTTTTTGAGACGGAGTCTCGCTCTGTCGCCCAGGCCGGACTGCGGACTGCAGTGGCGCGATCTCAGCTCACTGCAAGCTCCGCTTCCCGGGTTCACGCCATTCTCCTGCCTCAGCCTCCCGAGTAGGTGGGACTACAGGCGCCCGCCACCGCGCCCGGCTAATTTTTTGTATTTTTAGTAGAGACGGGGTTTCACCTTGTTAGCCAGGATGGTCTCGATCTCCTGACCTCATGATCCACCCGCCCCGGCCTCCCAAAGTGCTGGGATTACAGGCGTGAGCCACCGCGCCCGGCCTAGCCAATTTTTACAACATTTTATAATTCTTGCACAAATATTGAAGGATAAATTAAGTGTTCTGCAGTGCTGAAAGATAGAGGACAACAACAAATTAAAAGAAAATATGCAACATTTTGTAACTAATATTAGAAGTTTAGGGAAGTTCTTTATCCTGTCACTTTAAAATACAGCCTCATCAATATCAAATTTCAGTTCATGGGGGAACAAATTTGGTGCTATCTACATAGTATCATGCTTAAAACACTCCACCCTAAATTCTTTGTTGGTGGAAACTAAGTTACAGAAGAATAAACATTATAAAACTATATACATACACACCTAGCCACATAACTGCAATATGTGGTAATAAGAATAGTTAGAAAAAAACAAGGTCAATACGCCAGTGATTGATCGGTGCCTGTGCTGGCAAATGTCTTACTGGGCAGAAGAATAACATATGCATAAAGGAAGCTTATCAAGTTGAAAATAAAAGACATAAAACAAGGTAAGTTAAATGACGCTAAAATGAAAGAGCAGCTCAGCAAAACGAGGACTGTAACAACATCCTCACTATTGATGTCTACCCGTTCACACAGGCAGGACTTAGGAGGTGGAGCAGAAAGGAAGGTGTACCACAAAATGAGGGGACCAAGTAAAGAAAAGGCTCAGAGTTCCAAAGAGCAGTAAGTAAGCAGTAAGTGAATTAGCTTAGTCCCTAAGCAGGACAGCAGGACATCTCACGTTTTACTCAGCCCTCCCTTAAGAACTTCCCTTTGGCAGGTGGAATTGGGATCACCCTGAGGGTTTAGGATTGACATGACAATGGGAAATGATGAGGGCTGAAGGGCAATTGAGTGCCACAAAGCCACCTTGAAGCCACTGAGCAGTGTCTGAGGAACTGATTTCATTCTGCCTCTGCCTCTGAAGATTTTGTGTTATTGATTCTAACAAAGCACTTCTCAGGTGACTCCCAGACTGCTGGAGTAGTTTGAAAGAATAGAACCCTTGAGTAAATTGTAGGCCCCAGGCTTCCTGCAAGAACCAAGCGCTGAAAGAACAGCTCTGGGAGATTAGTAACAGCTGCACACCTGACCCACCTATTCTATTTTTACCACTAGACAAACTGAAATGCCTGCCTTGTCAGCCTCACCGATGCATTTCATTTCCGCTACTCCTGATCTTCATCCACCTACTTTGCAGGGTGATTCCCTACTTGCCTGTTTCAGCCCTTCCCCTTCCCAAGTTACTTCCCACATACAAGCTCTCCGTGCCATGCTAATTTGGTCCCTGTGGTTGTCAATTTTTTTTTTTTTTTTTTGGTCTGTTCAGTTACCTGTAACAGTCTGCCTCTGATGGCCATGCCTGGGCCAATCCAACTGAAGCAAGAGGAGCCAAAGCTGAAAACGGGGCAGACAGATCGTTGGAAGTGTGCTCTCATAAACACACTCTGCTCATGTACCCTGTAAATATTACTATCCTGTAAGGGAATAGGATAACCCACTCAAACCCTTCCAACATTTCGTTTGTCTGAGGTTAGCTGTTAAGTAGCTCGCAAAAACTGTCTATGTTTCTTACCTTCTTAATATGCCCATTTCCCACTAATGTGCTTTAAATGTATTTAAATGTTTTGACACTAAAAATATTGAGAAAGTTTTGAAGGGACCTGGGTGTACTCAGATTGTGGCATGTAGTGTAAGTACTTGAATACAAGTATTATCTCAGCTCTTATTGTTAAAGTACAAATAGAAAATTATTTTCAACTACATTTTATACTTAAAAAGTATTTTACAACAGTAGACCTCAGTGAGCTCAAATCATTCACAGTAATATTATCAAATGCTTGTGGGAGTTGGCAAAATCTTAATAAAAAGATTTAATGAAAGGGATTTATGAGTTTAAAACCAGAGAACTAATAAAAAGCCCATTTTCCACTAAATTTAAGTCCAATAATAACACTGTAACAAGTAAATATTAAAGCTGTGGGGTTTTGAAAGGTTTTTAAAGAAAATAGCTTGTCTGCTTTACGAGTAATTCTTGCTTAACAGTAAATCAAAAAAAGGGAAGACTTGATTATAAATTGGAAAAAAGAAAAATCAGTTCAACAGAAAAACGTCAACTGGAAAGTAGTTACTGTTATAGACCCATCAGGTTGAATCAGATGAACAGATATGAAGATTTCCTCAAGGAATAACATTTAGGCTGCATTCAGGGTACTAATGAGTACAGTGCATGTTGCTGAATGAGTCACATTTGATCCATTCATTGACATTCCATAGCACCGGTTAGAAATTTTGGCAACTGCTCAAAAGTTCTTAGCAGAATGAATATCATCGTTGGCTGTCCAGTGCAAACAACCAAGAAGTTTTTAAAGTATCTATGCCTAAGATAGAATCGGATGTATTTGGTCTGCAACTTAATACTGCATCTTATTATAAAGCCACCGTGATTAAAGCAGTGTTTGATTGGTGTAAGCCTAAATAGCCAGTGGAACAGAATAGAAAGCCATAAAATCCACAAAGATATAGAATCTAGATTTAAAGCTAATATGGTAGTCCTCTTTTCTCTTGGATCTTATACTCTAATGGGCCCTTGCCTACTATAGAGTATGCACAAATATTCTATACATGTTTTCTTTGTAAACGATGTACATCTAAGCTTAATGTAAATGATGTCCTTAAGTACAGCTTCAAACAAGTGGATTATTTTAATTGAATATTCTTAATGGACAACTTTTAAATGCTGCAAACATAACCATATTTCAACATGTTGTTTAACATGAATCCCTTGTAAGTACCTTTGTAATTTGTATTTCTTCAGGGCAATAAAATAATCGGTAGTTTCTGTGATAATTGTAATGTTTTAGTTAAAATTAAGATGTTATTTTACAGGGATTGAAACCTTAATTATTGCTAAAAAAAAAAAAAAAAAAGTCTAATGGTCTTCTTCCTCCATAAACTGACACCGGAAGTCACCCTGAAATAAAATATCAATATCAATGGCAATATCAATGGTAAAAAAGAAGTATATATATATGTATGTGTATATTTTTCCTAGTGATACTGAAGTTTGATTTCAATTTCAATTTCGATTTCAATTTCATATATATATATATGAACACACTCTGTGATGTGTATTTTGGTATGCATGCAATTACACATATACCAAAATACACATCTGTAATTGCATGGATACCAAAATACACATCACAGAGAAACATACATGCAACATTGTGCATACAGATGTTTTTGCTGCTATAATTCAAACAAACTTCCAAGAGAAAACCTGAACACATGCCATAATTTTAGGCAACTGGAATCTAAATCATCTGTTACCGAAATAATAATATACGAAACATCTGGCTCCTATCTAAAGTAATCAGCAGAATGTTAGATATAGAAGAATCAGAGAGTTAGTTTTTTTGCAGATTTCTACTCCTTAGATAAGTCCTTAATACCACAACCTTCCATACACAGAGTTAACTTCAGTCATTTTTAAATTCTGTCTTATACTGTTGGACTGAGGTTCTGTTTTCAAACTACATTTTCACATATACTCTTTGTTGACCGTCTAAGTAGCCACACATCATGATTTTTACAAGGATGGAAGAACAAGTGAAAATGAAGTAAGTTGTCCAAAGTCTTCTGGGAATGAATCAAGGTCTTCTGACACCAAAGCCTAGAGCCGTCCCACCAAACCCAGTTATATCTCCACGAACAAACACAGCAGGCAACCCAGTGCATTACAGACCTCATGTATGGTGATCGAGTCATAACATATATCACAATAAATACCTTAGATCACAAAATAAAATGGTGAGTAAATACAGACATTCGGAAAATCTAGATATGTAGGGACTCTAAATTCTGTCGTTCTTTAAAACTAATCAATGCCCATTGAAGGAAAAAAAAGTGAAAGTATTAAGTAGCAATTGGAAACATAAACATCACTCATAGTCTTATTACCAAAGATAATTATTGCTAACATTTTGCTGAACACTTTTCTAATCTACAGTTAATGTTGCAATACTACCTGGCATGCAAGATGTGAACAATTTGGATTTGGATTAAATACTTGCCAGTCCTGCAGGAACCAGTAAGAACTGACCTACGAAGTGCCTTGCTTTGGAGGTGACCTGGTCAGCCTGTAGGTGCTACTCTCTATCCTGTGAAGGTCCAGGTCTGCAAGATGGGCAAGTGCTCGGCAAGGAGCCTATAGGACTACTTGTTCGGGGCCCCGGTGAGCCATGGAGTTGATGGTTGGTTATACAGCAGTGCCCCTCTTGGAGGCCGGAAAACACATTCCAGTAAAGGCAGGGCTCACTGTGTCCTATGACAATTTTCTACTTTGAAAGCCTGTCTCAGAAACACCCAGCTTAGAAAATGGCCCTGTGCCCTCATCATTTCTGAGATGAACTAACCCCTCCACTCTGAACACCCCCCTACAGTTGGTTGGCTCCTCTCCCGGGCTGTTGCTCTGTAATTCGTGCTGCTGTATAGCAGTGGCACATACTTTTCCTAGAAAGTAGCAGCTGAGATGATTCATCTGTGATCCAAACTGATTCACTGTGAGCATTTGAGGAGTGAAGGTATCATAAACAAACGCCTTCCTAGATTCTACACCTGGATGAAACTGTGCTGTTTCTCTCAGTCCTGGGCTGGGTGGGCATTCTCAGAAAGTAGTAGAGGTGGACATAATATTTAAAAACTGGTGTGCCAAATATGTTCTACTACCTCATTTAATTCGTGCACAGCCTTTGAAGTGGGGTGTGTAGCTTAGCCTTTGCTTTGCTAGCTGTGAAAATAATTACTTGGGTAATGCTTTATGATGAGGGAATGGTTTTGCTATTCAAAACCTCTGTCTGAGAGCAAATGTTTGGACATCAAAGATATTTTGACATGTAATTGGGTTTAGGGACTTAGAAAGATGTGGACTATACTGTTCTGTATGTGGAGACAGCCATGCAGGGAAATGATACTCTGTAGCAAATTCTACAAACGAGGAAACGAGTCATTTGAGAAATGATGGACAGGACTGCAGAGGAACAGTCTGGAGATGAAAAGACTTGGGAATGTATAATTGTCTCCAACTCTGGGGCCTGATATCATTTGAAAGCGTATATAGATTTGTGTGTAAATAGAGTCCAGGCAGAAGCCATATTATCATCTGAACAGTATGTCTCATTGGAGATAAACATCAAAAACAGCCTTTGTGGTTTTTATCCCGTTTGCAAAAAGCCCAGATCACCACACTGGCTCCTTTCTAAAACAACATCATTGGTGGAAAAATAAACCTTACATATTTATTACACTCAGGGGCAGTGTCGATCCTTTTACTACATCTATTTTGTGAAAATGACAATTTATGGTTTTCATGTCTATATAAATTACTGTGTAAACGAGAACTTGATTACTTTCTGACAGGCAGATTTTTGACCTCCAAAGCATCTTTCATTTTTGACATTTTTGTAGTCAATTTCTATTGTATACCTGTTGGCTTTTCTGGAACACTAAACATTGCCTTACTCCTACTGGACGTAGCTATCAAGCAACTCTCAAGTAAAAAACATAAAATAAAGAAAAAATAAAATAATATAAAATAAAATGGTCCATTGCGATTTTCAGTGAATTTTTTTATTTAAGAGCTAAGGAGTACGACAGACTTCTAAGTGGCTCTGGAATTTGAAATAGTGAGAGGCCTCAGATTTCAATGAAGGAAGTGGAAGTTTCCCTGATCAGATAAGCGCTGTTTGAAACGGTAAACAAATCAAATATGCATTAAATTCTGCATTATCTTCTACAGTTTCAGGGGTTATTCCAGGGTCTGCATTATGGGGAAAATAATTAATTGTGGAAGGACCATGATTTAAAGTGCCGTTCCGGGGACTTCGATTAAGGGTTTTCAGAATTAAAGTCTTCAGGCATTTTGCAGGAACACCATGCCCTGTAGGAGGCTTTGAAAGCCTGATGATTCTCAGATCACCTGGAGCTACTGACATCAGCCACTCTGGCTCAGCGCCCTAGGGTACTTGGTTGGGTTTTACTCCCAAACACTTATGGGAGATTACTCACTACATGAGCAAAGAAGAAAAGTAAAAATGCCAGAGGCAGCCTGCCTGAAAGAGAGCCAAGGAATCGATTTCTCACTGTGGAGTCTTTGCCCATGAGCAAGGCCTTGAAGGGAGCTCTTACACTCAAAATGAACCAGGAGTACCCGGTTTGTATCACTCCAAAAGGAAAAGGGAGGTTTTCACTGGTCAGTGTCACTTCTTTCCCTTCCTTGAACACACCACGCTTGTTCCCACCCCAGGCCCTTTGAACATGTGGGTCCAGCTACCCGAAATGAGCTTTGCCCAGATTTTTTCATTGAGGCCTCATGCAGGTCTCACTCAATGCAGTATACTCTTTCCAGACACTCATATCTCAATCAGCAACATTCTTCCAACATTACATGCTACCCTTTGCCCTATTTTTTTTTGAGACAGAGTCTCTCTCTGTCACCAGGCTAGAGTGCAGCGGCGCTATCTTAGCTCACTGCAGCCTCCACCTCCCAGGTTCAAGTGATCCTCCCGCCTCAACCTCCAGAGTAGCTGGGATTACAGGCACGCGCCACCACACCTGACTAATATTTCTATTTTTAGTAGAGACAGGGTTGTTCACCGTGTTGCCCAGGCTGGGCAGGAACCTCTGACCTCAGGTGATGGCCTCGCCTCAGCCTCCCAAAGTACTGGAATTACAGGTGTGAGCCACCATGCCTGGCGCCTACACTATTGTATTCCCTTATAGCATTTATAACTTTGTGAAATATCCTATTTACTTGCTTACGCATTGATGATCTCTTTCTACACTAAAATGTAAACCTTCCAAGAGTGAAGATAATGATTGGCTTGTTTATATGCCCATTTCTAGAATAGTGCCTGCTAGTTGACATTCAATTGTTGAAGCCTGTGGGTGAGTTTGAGTGCATGTGTGGGAGGTAGAGGTGGTCGGACAAATTAAATCTCTGTGCACACTCATAGGGAAGCAGGGAAAGCAGTGGTACTTGAAAGAACTATAAATCTATATTCTGGTTAGTGATTACTTAAAACATTAGGATGCAGGTGATATTTTAATTCCAAAAGCAGAGTTGCTATTCTCTCAACCCTGTTCAGCAGCCTGATTGTCGAAAGCTCCTTAAATACTCCCTGCTTTATGGGAAGCTAATTTTTCTCCTACATGCTGTTCCTATGGACGTTGGCATCTCTGCTTTTTCCTTCTAGACAGGGGTCATCATTCCGGGCAAGACAAGGCTGCCATGAGTCAGAACTGGAACCTCACGGATATGATGTCAATGTTGTTCCCTCTGCTGTTGCCCCCAGGGGAGGCAGCTTTAGTTAACTCCAGCAATGTAATGTTTTCACCTACTGAGAAATTGTTGCATTAATGGTAATAAAGTCATTCAGTGTGTACCCACTCTGAAAAGACAAATTGCCAAGACAGCAGGTGTAGTGCAGGGGCAAAAAAAAAAAAAAAAAAAAAAAGGCAAGCAAAGCACTGGGCTTCGGATCAAACAAATCTAAAATATGATTAATTTGCTGCATGGAGCATTAAGCCTTGAACATATTGCCTCATGGATATGAGCCCCAGTTTCCACAGGTGCGGGATGACGAGGCTGCCCATTTTGCAAAGTAATTGTAGACTGGCAAAAAGAGATGTCGAAGGTAGGAAGCAGGGGTAGACACAGAAAAGAAAAAAGATGATTATTGTCATTTTTACAAAGGAATATTTAGCTAGAGGGCCTCCTAATTGCAAGAGAATTTTACGTGAAAGATGATGAGTGGGATTTGCCCTGTGCCTGCCTTTACCCTGTTGTCCTTTAGATTCCGGGACACATCATTCTTCACAGGGAGGCTTCATGGCACCCCACGCCTGCATGTGCTCCTCCGCTCACTGTACTTAAACATTGTACTTAAAATATGAGGATTTCAAGGCCATGTAACACGACTTTAGAGATTCTGAGTGATAAAGTCGGTTATATTCCTCAGCCAATCAAATCAAAAACAACAAGCACTGTTTTATTCACGATTCCCAGATCTCACATCGATGTTTTGGAAATAAACGATTTTTTTGCCTGAAACAGGTGACAATCTAAACCTGAGTCTTCGCTTCAGAGACTTCGAGCTTATATTTCAATAATGCAAGTTATTCTGAAGTCAATGCTACTTTTCTTATAGAAACATAGCACCCATTGCCAGTGGAGAGAATTCTCTTCCTCTATGCATGGTAGAACTAATCTTTTTATTATATTTATTTTTTCTTAGAACTAATAATTAGTTGTATGTCAGGTATTTATTTATCTCTTAATGAAATTCCCAGTGATGACACTTCATCTTGGGTCAGTAGGATTGAGTTGTTCCCTACATTTGAAATCATGCTATGTATTACTCTTGCTTTAATACGGGTGAAGCCAGAAGCTCCAGTGTCTCAAGGTTGTGGCAGTGAATGAATGTAGTAAAATGTTTCCCTAAGTAGTGCATTTAAACTCTGAGATGTAAATTGATGTAGTTTAATTGGGATACTATAGGATGGATTCAGCATTACTCACTAAAAAAGGTGTAAAACTACCAGTTGCCTGATTCCTGGGTGTTCGCATATACAAATTCTTTCTGTGTAGATATATGAGTGCCATAGTTGTCTTTCCTCAACAATGAAGAAAGATTTCTGCGTCAACAAGGCATATTTTAAAATTGTAATACCATGCTCTATTTTAATGCTTAGTAGAGTTCACCTCCAAAGAGAAATTGAAATGTTAAAAAGTCATACTAAAACCCCTAGATCTATGATTATACCTGAAGGTTGAAGCTAATACAAGCTCTCTAAGAGGACAGACAGTAAAGAAGAATATAATGAGGGTTTTTTGTTATGAAAATTATACAGATATGGAGACCTGAATCATGACAAATTATGAGCAGATTTTTTTAACCTCATCAAAATTAGTACACACATTTTTAAAAAGAGATATAAATGTCCAACACATTTTCTCTCTCCCGGGATGTGGACCTAGTCATAGACTAACAGCCAAGGTGCTGACACGGCCCTCCTCTAGGCCATCCAAAGTGAGGCCAAGATGGCAGCAAAGTCAGTTCTTAAGGGGTGTTTTATAAGTTTAATATGAAGAAATTGATCTCCAACAAGTCAAATTTAAATGTATAAAAATCACAAATGGGTTCATATCCATCTCTTTGGACAAATAGGCCACTGGGCCATACGTAACTTCAGAGTGTTTCGGGCGCCAGTTTGCTGTTTCTATTTTTTTTTTTTTTTAATTTCTTCTAAAAAAAAAAATCCGGGATACATGTGCACAAACTGCAGGTTTGTTACATAGGTATACATGTGCCACGGCGGCCTGCTACGTAGGTACGCGTGTGCCACGGCGGCCTGCTACGTAGGTACGCGTGTGCCACGGAGGTCTGTTAGGTAGGTACGCGTGTGCCACGGCGGCCTGCTACGTAGGTATGCGTGTGCCACGGCGGCCTGCTACGTAGGTACGCGTGTGCCATGGTGGTTTGTTACGTAGGTACGCGTGTGCCATGGTTGTTTGCTGCACCTATTGACCCCTCCTCTAAGTTCCCTCCCCTCATCCCCCACCCCCCAATATGTCCTGGTGTGTGTTGTTCCCCTCTCTGTATCTATGTGTTCTCATTGTTCAGCTCCCACTTGTGAGTTAGAATATGTGGTGTTTGGTTTTCTGTTCTTGTGTTGGTTTGCTGAGGATGAAGCTTCCAGCTTCATCCATGTCCCTGCAAAGGACATGATCTCATTCCTTTCTTATGGCTGCATAGTATTCCATGGTGTGTATGTACTGGATTTTCTTTTTTCCAGTCTATCACTGATGGGCGTTTGGGTTGGTTCCAAGTCTTTGCTATTGTAAATAGTACTGCAGTAGACATACATGTGCATGTGTCTTTATAGTAGAACGATTTATATTCCTTTGGGTATATACCCAGTAATGGGATTGCTGGTCAAATGGTATTTCTGGTTCTAGATCCTTGAGGAACTGCCACACTGTCTTCCTCAGTTGTTGAACTAATTTCCATTCCCACCAACAGTGGAAAAGTGTTTCTATTTCTCCACAGTCTCACAAGCATCTGTTGTTTCCTTACTTTTTAATAATTGCCATTCTGACTGGCATGAGATGGCATCTCACTGTGGTTTTGATTTGCGTTTCTCTGATTATCAGTGATGTTGAGCTTTCTTTCTTATGTTTGTTGGACACATAAATGTCTTCTTTTGAGAAGTGTCTGTTCATATCCTTTGCCCACTTTTTGATGGGGTTGTTTTTTCTTGCTAATTTCTTGTAGTTTTTTGTTTATCTTGTTCCTGCTTCCCCACCTGTGAGTCACTTAGGATATAATGACATGATCCACATTCTCTGTGATCTACGGGATTGTCTGTCACCAAGTGGCCCCTAATGGTGCCTCAGCCATGAGTCTTGGGGCTCAGTCCACACCACAAGGGCATGAAATAGATCTTCCTCACACACACACCATGCATGCATGCACACAAACACACACACACATGCCTGCTTTCTCCCTCTCTTAGGGAAATAGTGCTATAACTTATATTTGGGTTTAGTGTCTATCTGCACAAAAAATGTGATTTTTTTTTGCACAGTGGCTGCATGGATAAAATCATGATGCATATCACCATTTACGTTGCTCATTTCACAGACAACCATGTTTCACCTTTTACTGGATTTTTAACATTTACAGTTGTGCTTTTCCTCAGTGTCTTTGTGAATTTAGGAAGAGAATTTGTGGGGATGAGGGCTACTCCATTATGTTGGAGTTGAGACATCAGATGCCGGCTGATGCCACCCCACCACTTGTCTGGTAAAATGTGTGTTTATAGTTGGTCGGGAAGTATGCACACCCACCACAGTAACAACGTCACAAAGGATAAGAGTGTGCTTCCGCATATACGTAAATCAATTTCAGTCTGCAATGAAGCCAGCACTTCCTTAGTACTGACACCTAGTATCCTAGGGCCCTGGAGTAGTGCCTTCAATAAACATATCTATACTGCGGTTATATATTCTCTTTGGCCGAGAAACTCTTCTTGTAGGCTTCAGTTGGTATATTTGCCAAGGTGCTCAAAATAAGTGAGTCATCATTGATACACCTGTCATTATATGATCTAACCTTCTCAAGAAGATAGTAATGCTCTAGACTGGCAGCCATGAAGGCAGATACCTTTATTATAATCTACTGACTGCTATATTCCAAGTGCCAAGCACAGTGCCCAGTGCACAGTAAACATTTGGTCTATGGAAGCAAGGGAGCTGGAGTGACTATTGTATCTGATAAAAGATATTATTACTACCTACAGTAATGATTGTGAACATTGACAGAGTACCTATTATAAGGTAAATAGTTTCCATATTTTAATCATCACAAATGATCTTGAAAGACAGGCATTATCATTCCTATTTTACTGATGAGAAAAACTAAAGAGCTTGAGTGATTTTTTCCAAAGCCACATATACAAAGCAAAGAAATGAGGGGTATAAACCCACGTGAGTAGGACTTCTACCCCTGTGCTCATCCTATCCTGACACAATTTAGAAATGATATAGTATTTTTTCTGTCATTTTCTGAAAAGAATGTGTCTACAAATTCCACTACAAAAGCAAAGGCCAATTTTTTAATTTTAAGAACTCTTCTACTCCTCTTTATAAGAAGCCATGAAACTACATTAATTGGAAAAAAAATTAAACGTTTTTGTGTATCTGAGCCGAAGGCTAAATTCTGTTTCTTTGTCTCTATTTGTGTAGGCATTTCAGAAACTAATAATGATGTTTATCTTTAGTTTTATTTCATAAGTAACTATTCTGACCTGATACTACAATATGAGTTATGCCTTTAACAAATAAAAGAGGTTTGGAATTTCAATAATATTTGCAGGTGTATGACTGGGGGCACCATGTGTTGATGCACAGGTTGTGCACTGCACAACTCCACAGAGTGTCGTTCACACAGATGACACAGCTGCCTTGAACATAAGACTGTCGAGAACTTGATTGATATTAGAATTTATCATGTCTGGGATGAGACAGCTTTACGTGTGAATATGTAGAAGACACCAAATAGTCATAAAAATATCAATGACCAGCACTTTGGGAGGCCGAGGCGGGCGGATCACGAGGTCAGGAGATCGAGACCATCCTGGCTAACACGGTGAAACCCCGTCTCTAATAAAAATCCAAAAAATTAGCCGGGTGTGGTGGCGGGCGCCTGTAGTCCCAGCTACTCGGGAGGCTGAGGCAGGAGAATGGCGTGAACCCGGGAGGCGGAGCTTGCAGTGAGCCTAGATGGTGCCACTGCACTCCAGCCTGGGCAGCAGTACGAGACTCCGTCTCAAGAAAAAAAAAAAAAAAAAAAAAAAAAATCAATGAAAACAATAGCTCCCTTAACGGATTTGCCACTGTAATTGATCTTCAGCTAAATTTCTACATCCATTTGTATGGCCTTTCAACTTTTAACTTGCTCCTAAGCTGTGGGCAAGAAATCAAAGCCCTGGCTTCTGCCTCTTATTTTAGCTTGGTTTTGCGACGTGATGCTTCTGCAGAAACAACGCATGACATTGAAACTCCACGGAGAATTCGGATTTGCTATACAAAGTATTTTGGCAAAAAGGAAGTGACAGCCTTTCGAGTCTGTGGCCTTGAGTTAAAAAAAAAAAAGATACAGCTTGTAGTTGATTCTGTGTGTGATTTTATTTTACTGATTTCTAATTAGAGATTTGAGAGCAGAAAATATGTATTTTGCCTATTTAAGCATGGTTATTCAGTTTCATCTAGATTCTATTCTTCTTTATTTTACCCAAGTTTTGCTTCCAAGGTTGTAGAGTAGAAAGCAGAAAAATAGCTAGTTGCCTAGATAAAGTATGTGAACAGAAGTGTTGATCTATTTAGCAGGATAATACTATTCTTATTTGCCTTGCTTTAACCATTACAAATGAACCAGAAACTTGTACTCATAAGTTAAATATTGATAACAAGAAGAAATATGGACTTAGAGACAAGGGACCATTTGCAATATTCACTGATCAAAGCAGTACAAAGGATCAAAACTTTTAGATCTAGTGCAGATGTCTCAGGAAATATAACATGATGCCAAGCGAATGGCAGCAAAAAGCTGAGGCTAAAATGAGTACTATAGTTTCAACTGAGAAAAAAAATCAAATTATTGTACCAAATTCCCTAATATCAGATGTGTATAAACTTAAGAATATTAAATACCTGGCAAACAGCAAGAGGACAGTTTTATAAATCATAAAAAGCATTTGTTTAATGATCAAATGTTAAAGATTTGGTATTTCCAGAAAAAAAAGTGTTGACAAAATCAACCTTTAATAGCGTTGAATATTCAAGCAGATCAGCTCAAGCAGTGCATTCCTCCACTGCTGTGCTGTTTCTCGGGTCTTCAGCTGGCATCATTTCTAATTTTTTGCACTGTAGCTTGATTATAGTCATATACTGGTGGGGGGAGGAATTGAACAAACACAAGCGGATCACAGAAGAAAAAATAAAGTTTACTGGTTTCTCTAATCAGAGTCATAATTTACTATTTTACTTAAGAACAAAACTATTCCTTAATATCCAGCTGTAAAATGAGGCCCACATGGTTAATATTCTCATAAGATCCTTACACATCTTCTGGGATAATTCTCTTTCAATTTCTGCCAGGTATATGATGATATTCTGTCATTATTATTTCAACATGACACTCTAATTCACACGTCTTTAGATTTAAACACACATACCTACTCCCCATCTGTATTTAATGGGCAAGCTGTGTGATTATTAGGGGTGACCTAATTTGATTTACTGAACCAAACAGAGAGCTCATTGGAATTAAAGGACTCCTGTCTTATAAAGAACCCTGGCCTGCAAGTTAGGGAGAGACATTAGATTATCTTTCATGTGCTAGTATGATTTAGAGACCTGATAGGGAGAACTTTAACTCAATCCTCTGGGTCTAGCTCCCTAAGTATAATGAAAGGAGACTCAATTAGAAAAATGTCTAAGTCTCAGCTTTCCTCTAAGATACCTATGAGCCATGATTGAGTCAGGAAGAACTTGAATTGTCAAATCTTTAACACAATTTTTTTCCAATTAAATTAATAATAAAGGAGATTAGGAGAGGCAGAGGAAGCAGCAATAAATTCTATTCCCAATTATAAAGCATTGAGGGATTGCATTAAATAGGAGTCTTCAAAAGAACCATAAAAATCAAAGGATGGGATTGGGGAAAATGATGTCAGAATAGAAATCCAGTCTCATTTATACTTCGAGACCAGGAATAACTGTGAAGAGACATTTGACATTTCTCATTAGTCTAATGTATTAGCATCAGTGAAGGTCTTTTGAAACAAACATATGAGACTTCCATTCTGTTTTTTTGTCTGTTTCATTCTGCTTTGGGAGGAAGTGGGAATTTCCATTTAAAGAGACAAGCGGGGTCAGTGCATGCAGCCTACCAGAAAGAACCACTGTGCCGAGCCTGCCGAGACAGATTCGCCCCATGTGGTGGCTGCACCTGTGATCCCAGCTACTCAGCAGGTTGAGGCAGGAGAATCGCTTGAACCCGGGAGGCAGAGGTTGCAGTGGGCCGAGATCAAGCCATTGCACCACAGCCTGGAGACAGAGAGAGACTCTGTCTCAAAATTTAAAAAAAAAGACAGATTCGCCACAGCTTCAGCCATCAGGGCAATCCCAAGCGCAGTGACAAGCTCTAGAGCAGCAGTCTCCAGGCTTTTTGGCACCAGGGCGGTTTTGTGGAAGACAATTTTTCTGTGAAGGGTGTGGGGATGGTTTTGGGGCATTAGATTCTCATAAAGACTGCACAAACTAGATCCCTTGCGTGCACCGTTCACAATAGGGTTCATGCTCCTGTAAGAATCTAACGCCGCTGCTGATGTGGTGGGGTGGAGTTCAGGTGGTAATGTGAGTGATAGGGAGTGGCTGGAAATACAAGCAAAGCTTCCCTTGCTCACCCACTGCTCATCCCCTACTGTGTGGTCCGGTTCCTAACAGGCCACAGATAGGTACCTGTCCTCAGTCCAGGGCTTGGGGACCCCGCTCTAGAGGATGTGTTTATGAGAGACAGAGCTCCTTGTCTCTTTCCCAGCCACAGATTCAGCCCATTTAGTAGAAATTTCCAAAGTAGACTCTTAGGTGTTGAGTGATCTGACTGGTCACAGCAGGAGGCAATTTTAGAGATAAAGCAAATGACTTTTCATCTATACAAATCGGGCTCCTATAAAGGAGTGATTGGATCCACAGACTCCCAAGTAACTGAATTAAGGTGACGATCACTAGGCGCAACCACATTAGAAGTTTAAGTAGACTCAAGTAGGTCATGGCTATCTTTCCGTGCTGCAGTAGAAACATTTTTTTGTTATTACTAAAAATTCTGGTAATTGTTTAATTCACAAGAGTACCTTGTCTGTCATGTTATTTTCCTTTCCAGGCTAAAATTTGCATTTCAAATAAAGGAAAGACTTACAGACACCAGACTTTCTAAAATAGATTTTAGCAACCCATGCTCAATATCATTTCTACTTGTTTCAAAATGGAAAGTTTTGTGATTTATGACATGCATTAAAATAGTCCCAGATAACCACCAGTGACAGAGAGTCAACTGCAGCGGGTTCCTGATCTCATTGTGATCCCCAGGAGTTAAGTTGCCCCAGGCTGAAAATAAGCATAACACAAATGGCAGAAAAGGAAATGTTGGAGGAAAATTGTATTCAAACACATTTGGTTGAAACTCCAAAGTGTAGTAGATATTATTTTGAATTTGAAGGGAGGCATTTGCAAATAACTAATCTTTATCAAGTGCCATGCTTTTAGGATTCTGAAGAAGACATGCATTTTTCATAACGTTATTCATGCAAAATATCTCAGTAGTCTCAGTAGTCATTTTTTTTTAACCAAAGTATAATATCACAGAGGATATTTTAGGATTGGATTGGTTTCATTTACTCATGATTAGGTTCCATTCAAATATAAAGGTTGGTTGTAAACCTGAATTGACTTCAGATGTCCAAGTTAAATAATAACTTCTCAAAGCCCCATAATGCCTCAGCAACTTTTTTCTTTCCCGGTGCAAACCAGGGCCGATGTTACACTCCATGTATTTGCTGCAATTTCTATTTCTCAATTGCCTTTTCTGTTGTTTCATCTTTGACCTACTCTTCTGGAGTAGTCTGGATCTAGTAATCTCAATATGTCTAAAATATGTCTCAGGAATTCAATTTGAACAACAGTTCAGGCAAATCTCAAATGAATATAGACTTATATGGAAAGGATATAAATGGTTCAGGGATGTATTGCTTTCTATGCAGACGTAACAACTCCAGCAGTATAATTCCCCTGCTGGGTCTCCACCCCTCTGATGCTCTCTATTCTGGGGAAGTAGAGCAAATTCTTTGCTTGGTGAGTTTGGAAAAGGAAAGTAGGAACTTGGAGCATGAAGCCTTTCTCTCTCCACCCTGGAAACGAAGTACCAGGCAATGCATATACTTCTTACGTTTGCTGAGAGGCACAGTGGAGTTTAGAGGGGGAGGAATGGAGGGATGTTGGTCTAATCCAGAGTTTTATATTAGGAAGTTCATATGGCTATAGATATCAACTAAAATGGTTGAAGTCAGCTTAGATTGTAATAAGTTTTGGATTTGTTGGGTGCTTTCCAGTGGTCTCACACCTGTGGAAGAGGTGTCTTATTTCTCAATGCATTCATAATTCAGACAGAGAAGAAAACTTTATTTTTTGGGTCCCTTCTGTGTACACAGGCAGACAACTTTGGAAAGTCATCTTTCACTGGTGAAAATGGAACTCTATTTTAAAGACAACAAATAATGATTTATTTGGAAAGGGGCAAAGGGTTGAAAAACTACCTATTATACATTATACAATATACCCATGTAACAAACCTGCACAGGTATCCCCCAAATCTAAAACAAAAGTTAGTATTTTTTAAAAGACAACAAATAACTAACCATTGTTTGAAAATGAGGCCAAGCATTTGATACAGATGTACCTCCAAAAAAAAAAAAAGCTTAAATCTTTGTAAATCATTTGTCCATCAAAGGAGACCTATTAATTTACCTATATTACTAATTTCAAGGGTTTTGTCTTACTAAGACAGTTTTGATTCTTTTGACTTTACCAAAATGTTATTCCTTAAATACAGATAATTACCTTTTTCATGAACTTCGTTTCCTTCTACCTGCAAATCTTACCTTGGTTGCTAAAATTGAATAGAACCCTCCCCCTGGGGTCACTGCCATGCTGCTATCCTGGCTGCCTGGCTGATCCTAGTTCCTCAATGGCCACTGGTTGCAATCGACCTGCTGAAGGTTTGAAAGTGGCTTCCAGGAGACCAAACAAAACTAAGTGATAGGAAGTAAATGTTAAACAAAAACAATTTTAGGTATAAAATGGAAATGTGAAGTTACAGACATGGATTCTGGCTTATTTTTTGGAAATAAAGTAAAATCTATGATGATCAGAATTTAAGAGGATCTCAAATTGTAATATTTACTTCCACTGACATTTTAAGAGGAAATAAACAGTTGAATTACTTATTTTTCAAAAAACTTCTGTGTAAGTAACTTTATGGTACTTGCTATAGAAGAACATAGCATGTAATCACCTTAATCATTTAGATGAAAAGTCAATATAATGGAAAAGGTAACTAGGACACGAAGAGGTGTTAACCAGAAAAATGATGTTCATAAGAAATGCCCAACAGCTACTCACACTAATAGTATAATTTACGTTGATATAATATCAAATCAATTACTCAAAGACCTCCAACAACAAAATGTGGATTAGAATTCAGCTAATTCACTTACTGAGAAAGAAAAGAAAAGCATGTTTCATTATTCATCAAATATTGATTGACTGTCAACTGTGTGGACACTGTGTTAGGCTCAGAGAAGACACAGATCTGTGCTCCCTGGAGTTCCATGTTAGTGCAGAGGGTTGGACAATAAAAAATAAACCTACTCAATACATAAACTGCATGCTCTGTTGGGAGATGAGTAGTGTTATGGAAGAGAAGAAAATGTAGGGCACAGTAATGGGAAAGACAATGCTAGTCTTATGGGGGCAAAGTGTATCGTGTGTGTCAATGAGAGGTGATGTGAAGCAAGGATTAAAGGGAATGAGGGAAAACCCCATAAGAACACTGAGGAAGGACTATTCCAGGAAGGGAATATGGCTGTGGAAAAGCCTTAGGTTAGGAGCCAGACTTTCAGGGGGCAGTAGAAGAAGCCAGTGAGCCTAGTGAAGAAAAGCAGGAGGAAAAGACATCTGAGAGGCAACCTTCAGGGTAGAGAAGGTCAGACCAGGCATGGTTGTGCAAAGTTGCCATGATATTCAGATTTTAATCTCAGTAAAGTGGGGACACTTTGAAGGACTAATGTATCATTATATTATCCACGTAAAGCTTAAAGCACTTAACCTTTGCTGATAAGAACATTTACGGACCATTTCATAAAAAAATCCATCTTGCAGGGATTCTGACAACTTTGGGTTTGTTCAAATCTGATGCCATATTCAACTTGCAAATACGATTGTTGTGAATAGAAAATTAGTTGAATTTACTATGGTTCAAACCAACAAAGGTGGTGACTAATTTTAGTTTCAAAGTTCTCTGAGATAGTCTATCATCACCGAATACAACTGCCCAGTTACCTGCCAGAGCAACAATGGGACACTCACTCCAGAACAGTGTTTGGGGACACTAAATGCCGCAGGAGGCAGTGGCAGACGTGATCCTAGAAAGGACCGTCCTGCGGGGATTCTCGGTGTAAAGGAGAACCCTTCCCCAGAGAAACCACATTTACTAATGTGCAGAGACCACCAAATCAGCAGGGGCCCCCAACATCTTATCTGTCCTAATCCATCTGGGGGCGGCCTGAAACACTGACAAAAGGTGTTTGTCTTTGCATCACCCGATTCAGAACTCACATGAGGCACAAGAGATGGACGATCCTCAAAAACCACCGTAGGGCACGCAAAGCCACCAGGACACGCAAAAGATCACAATGGAGGCAAATAACACAGTGCCCAAAGCTGCACAGAAAAGCTAGGCACAGATTTTCTCTGGGATATAAAAGCATCCAAAACATCCCTGCATAGTGGGAAACTCAGAAACTCACACATATGCCCAGGGCAGAATACACTCTCAGAAAAGACCTCACAATTTTCCCAAACTTTCACACCTGGTTGAGCAGTAGTTTCAGTGCAAACAAGAAGGAAAAACTAAGGCAGAGTTGTAAAAAGCCTGGCGAAGTGTTGAAGGAGGGCCCAGCACACAAAGGGTCAACTGGCAGACTGAGAGAGGATTTTCATTTTTGTTTTGTATTTCCTTTCTGCCTCTCTTTTCCTTTCTTTCTTATTCATGTCCATTCCCTTCCCTCTCTGTCTCTCTTTCTCACTCACGCACTCTTGGCATTCATGGAAATCTCTGTCAAAACGCTGTTTAAACATTAGTTAAAGGGACAAAGGCTTCAAAGAACAAACATAGAAAAGAATATAAACCTTATAAAAATTGTTTTTAAAAGTATTTAATTCAATAACTACAGCAATAAAACAATTCCCAAGAAGAATAAATAAAATTAATTTGCACAGTTACCAATGTATAATAGTAAACATGGCCAGTTCTCAAAAAATCATAAAACATTAACAAAAAGAAAATATGACCCACTCACAAAAGAAATGAAAAAAAAAAAAACTCTCCCTGAAAAAGCACGGACATTTGAATTAGTAGAAAAAGACTTAAACCTACTGTTTAAAATACACCCAAATAGCTAAAGGAAACCATAGACAAAAAGGTCTAGGAAACCAGGAGAATGGCATCTGAACAAGCAGAAAATGTCACTACAGATATAGAAGTTATAAAAAAATACAAATACTGAAGATAAAAAGTACAATAACTGATGCTATAAACTCATGAGAAGGTTTCAAAAGTTGGTTAAAGCAGGTAGAAGAAAGAATCAACAAACCTAAAATTAAGAAAGTTGAAAATATCCAGTATGAAGAAAAATATTCAGTATGAAGGGAAAAAGAAGGGAAAAAAATAAACAGAGCTTAAGAAACACATGGGGCACCATGAAACATAACAATATATGCATAATAAAAAATCCAAAAGGGAAGGAGAAAGAGAAAGCAGCAGAAATAATGTTTGAATAAATGACTGCAAATTTCCAAAATTTACTAATCAAAATAAATCAACACATTCGAGAAACTCAGATACGTGTAGGAAGGATAAACTCAAAGAGATCCATACTGGGACATATTTTAATAAAATTTTGAAAGACAAAAACAAAGATTGAATTTTAAAGATGGCAAGACAGAAGTAACTTATTATACACAACAGATCCTTAGAAAGAGCACCTGCAAATTTCTCATTAAAAATTCCTGGAGGCCAGAAGCAAGTGGCAGTATATTTTTAAAGCAGTGACGCAAAAAAGCAAAAACAAAAACAAAAACTCTATCAAACTCACTATTCTACATTCAGCAAACTATGCTTCAGAAATCAGACATTGATAAACTAGAAATAAATATATTCACAAATTTTTAAAAGCAAAATGCTACAATGAATGCCAGTGCGGAGTATCCACAATGAAATAAAAAGACTTCGGAAAGTAAAGCAATGCCGTTAGAAAAATTAAAAACTACAATCAAAGTCATTATACTGGTAAATATAAAAGTCACTATTCTTATACTTTCGGTTTCTAACTCATTTTTCTTCTATATGATTTAAAAGACAAATACATAAAACAATCACCACACATCTGGGTTAATGGTAACACAATTTATGAGGATATAATATGTTCCTATGTGAACATGGTCTGGGGTTGGGAGTCTAGAGCTATATAGGAGCACAACTTTTCTATGTTATTGAAAATACGTTGATATTAATAGAACTAGATTGTTATGATTTTAGGATGTGAATTGTAATGTCTGTGGTAACCACGAAGGCAATAACTGAAAACAATACATAAAGGGAAATGAGAGGGAAGTCAAAATGGTACACTACAAAAATACATAAACAAGAAAACCAGAGAACTTCACAAATACATACAAATAAAATAACCGATTAAAAATGTAAGTACAAAAATGGGTCAAAGAAGAAATTCCATGAGAAAATAAAAAGTTTCCTGGAGACAAATGAAAACGAGGACACACAAAAATATATATGGAATCAGAAAAACAGTGCTCAGAGGAAATGCATAGCTGCAAATACCAACATTAAAAAAGAAGAAAAGATCAATTAACACCCTAACTATACAACTGAAGGAATTAGAGAAAGGAGATACAAATAAACTCCAAGCTGGCAGGTAAAATGAAATATTAAAAAGATTAGAGCAGATATATTTAAAAATGCAGAACAGCAAAACAATAGAATCTACAAACATAATGTGACATAGACTTGCAGTGGAATACCACTCAGTCACAAATGAAGGAAGTACTGACACAGGCTGCACCATGGATGAACCTTGAAAACATGCTAAGTGGAAGAAGCCAGGCACAAAATGTCACAGACAGTACAATTTCACACATATCAGATACCCAGAAGAGTTATATCCATAGACACAGAAAACAGATTGGTGATTGCCAGAGTCTAGGCCATTTCCAAGGCGACAGGGGAGTGACTGTTTAATGAGTATGGGGTTTCCTTTTTGGATGATAAACTGTTTCTCATACAGATGGAGGTGGTAGTTATACAACATTGTGAATGTACTGACGCCTCGGATTTGTTCCTGAGAATGCTTAATTTATATTAAGTAAATTTCATTTTAATAATTTTTAAATTAATCTATGTAACCATCCATATTAACATGCTAAACAATAAAAATCAAATAAATCATAAAAATCATGTCCATCAGGGAAAAAATGCATGTGACATAATTCAACACCCACTCAGGATCAAAACACTCTGAAAACTAGGAATGAAGAAGAATTTCCTCAAATTGGTAAGGAGTATATACTCAACTTGTAACTATAATTATACTTAATAGTGAAAGGCTCCATGATTTTCTCCTAAGATTGGATAAAAGAAAGGATGTCCACTCTTATTCAATATATAATTGGGAGTTCTCAACCAGTGCAAAAAAAAAAAAAAAGGAACGAAATAAAATTTATATACATCTGAAAGGGAGAAATAAAACTGTCCATATTTAAAGATGACATAATGTTCTTTGTAGAAAACCCCAAGGAATCTACCAAGAAATTCCCATAACCAGTAAGTGATTTTATTAAGTCTGTAACATGGACAGAAGAGTTAAAAACGCAACACAATTTAAAGCCATTCAAAAATACTTAGGTGTAAATCTAGCAAAACACATACAGGATGTGTTTGCTGAAAACCAGAAAACACGAAAGTAATGATTAAGCAAGATACCATGTCAGAAAAGTAAACATAGGAAAGATATCAATGATCCCAAAATTGACACACAGGTTTATTGCAATTCCATTACAAATCCTAACCCAACTTTTGCAGATATAGAGAAGATTATTCTAAAATGTATAGGGCAAGACAAAGGAACTGGAATACCTAAAATAATTTTAAAATAATAGACACCAAAATCACAATCTATAAAATAAAAAATATTATAAATTATAGTTCAGCAAAATTAAAAACATTTCCTCTTTGAAAAATCCTGTAAAGGGAATGAAAAGACAAGCTACAGACCGCAGAAAGTATTTGAAAATCACATATTTGACAAAGGACTAACATCTCTAATCTATAAAGAACTCTCAAAACTCAGCCATAAAGCCAACAATCCAATTAGAAAATGGGCAAAATTATGAAGACATTTCACTGAAGATAGGCAGATGGCAAATACCATGTTAAAAGGTACTCAACAACATTAGCTATTAGGGAAATGCAAATTACAACTACAATGAGATATCACTTCACACTTACAATAATGGCTAAGCTTAAAAGAAAAATGATAAAATCAAAATCTGGTTAGCATAAGAAGAAAATGGATCATACATACATTGCTGGTTGGAATGCAAAATGGCACAGCCACCCCGGGAAACAGTTGGCAGTTTCTTTATAAAACACAACCTGCAACTATCATACAACCTACCAATTGTACTACTAGGCATTTATCCTAGAAATGTGACAACATTCACACAAAAACCTGCACATGAAATTTTATAGCAGCGTTATCTGGAATAAGCAAAAACTGAAACAGCCCAGATGTCCTTTAATGAGTGAATGGCTAAATAAATTGTGTTACATCCATAACATCTAATACCACTCAGCAATAAAACAACGACAATAACAACAAATAAAAACAGACTGCTGACTGATACATGCCATATACTGGATACATCTTTAGAGAACTAGGCTGAGTATACAAAGCCAATCCTCAAACGTTGTATGCTATAGGATTCGATTTTTATAACATTTTTGAAGTGACAAAAATATAGAAATGGAGAACAGATTATTCATTGCTATGGGTTAGGCGGTGGGGTCAGGAGGAACGTGAATGTGACTCTACATGAGAATAGGATCTTTGTAGTGATATAAATATTCTGTATCTCCAATGTGTTCATCTCAATACCTTAGCTGTGATGTTGTACTATTTCCTGGCTTTGCAAGATGTTACCGTAAGGGGAAACTGAGCAATAGATACAAGATATCTCTCCGTATTATTGTTTACAACTTCATGGGAATGTAAAAAAGTCCCAAAATAAAAAGTTTAATTTCAAAACAAAATATAGACTAAGATCAATGTTTTTATAAGACCATTAAATCGTAATAATCCTATATCCAAAAAACGGTTAGCATGAAGAATATGTTAGTCCTAGGTAACAGAAGTTGTAGAATGTTAATGTTATCATGGAGATGAAGGACGGTAGCATGCTGAGACAAGAATATACGTAAATCACAATCAGTATCTTTTAATAGGATTATATTGACAGTTTCTACATAGTTACAGAGTTATTACAACATATTCAATATAATTTTGCTCTATTAGCAATGTTTGATGAACAATTATATCATGGACATACACAGGTCAATGATGTAACTGTGTTGAGACATTATATTAAGATAAAAATTTGGGACTAGAGAAACACCACAATTACACTTTTTCTTTTCTAATAGATTGCAGTACAATATATAAATTTCAAAGGAAATGAAAACCCCCTATTAAATCCTTAAACAGGGTCTAATAACCTGACATGTTTGCAAAGTTATGCTATAATGATTTTTTATAATTAATACCAAATTTAATAAACATTTTTATTTTGTAGACAAATAAGAGGTTTCTAAAAGTAACTGAGTAATGAATTACTCAGAGGAAATGAGGGAAAGCAGAGGGGGCGATTTATAGGAACATGCATTGTTCCTGAAATTGCTGAGGAAAAGGCATTAGATTCTACAAAAAGACCACATTGACACGCTTTTCTTTTAATAACACTAATTTCTTTTTATTTTCTCCAGTGAAGCACTTTGTTTCTGCAGACTGGTGCTTTCTGGTGGTGAAAAGTCCATCTGTGTTTTTCAGGCACTTTCGCTCGTCTCCCTGGAGAATGCTAATGTAAAGATGTCATTCATGTGCCCAACAATGCCAGTCTTGACGGCTACGATTTCTCACATCATGTTCTTCAGAAATATAAAACCCCTTTCAGCCGCCACTTCGTTTTGTGGTCTACTTTCAGGAGCATTTGTACACTGCACTTTCAGATGTTACGCAATTATTCGTCACATACACCTCCTGCTCCACCGTTCCTATGGATGATGCTCACATTCCTTTTCCACCAGGGATTCAAGCTCAGGTGACAAACGAGTGCCCACATCATCAAAACATTGTGGCAGGACACTTGTCATGGTGTGGAAACGCGGGTGACAGTGTTTATTCCAAAATGAGTTAGCCAAAAGACAAAAAGAGAGAAAGAAAAAGGAAAGAAAGGCTAAAGAGGTTACTCTTAAGGAATGTTCTTCAACATGATTTCCTTTTTCATGTGGAGAAGGCTTTTGTTTTGTTTTGATTTCCCTGAAAAATCTCTGTTCCAGCCCAGAGCTGACTAACATGACTGGAGAGAGTCAAGTAAGCCAACCCCTGAGGACAGGAGGGCCAGATCACGTGGGCTTAGGACGCCACGGAGAAGGGATCTGTGTCATTTCCTCTGGAAACCCACTGGATCAGCTGGGAAGTGCTGGTTCTCTTGGCAAGACAAGCCTGAGACACATTATCCCAGCCCGATTTTTACTGCTGACTTTTCATTACCTGTATATACACGATAACACAAAGTTAGGGACCAGAGCAAACATTGGACAAAGCCCATCTTTTTAAAGGGGAAAGAGCAGAGCAAAACTACGTAGAATCTACAGGTATTTCTTTCCTCTAAGGGACTCTTTGGAAGATGCTAAGTGATTGGTTTGGGTCAATGTCCCTGCCGAAATCTCATGTCCAGTAGTAACCCTGAATATTGGAGGAGGGGCCTGGTGGGAGGTGATTGAATCATGGGCACAGATATTCCCCTTGCTGTTGTCCTGATAGTGCATGCTAGTGAGTTCTCACAAGACCTGGCTGTTGAAAAGTGCATGACAACTCTCCCTTCACTCTCTTCCTCTTGCTCCAGCCAAGGAAGACATGCCTACTTTCCCTTCCACTATGATTGTTTTAAGTTCCCTGAGACCTCCCCAGCCATGCTTCCGGTCCAGCCTACAGAACCGCAGGTCAACTAAATCCCTCTTTTAAATAAATTGCCCAGTCACAGGTAGTTCTTTAAAGTAACGTGAGAATGGACTAATGCACTAAGTGCTGTAGCAGAGCGCCTCTGGTTCCAGGCAGAACAAATCCAGGATCGTCAGACACTTCAGATTCTCACAAATACCTGGGCTGGATCAGGAAAAGCATCCTGGGGTTCTTCTCAAAAT
Source organism: Homo sapiens (assembly GCF_000001405.40). NCBI lineage: Eukaryota > Metazoa > Chordata > Mammalia > Primates > Hominidae > Homo > Homo sapiens. The sequence continues at coordinate 4,663,906 of NC_000008.11, forward strand.
CCAGTGTCATCTGACGATGGCTCCACTGGGATGGAAATTGGAAAGCTAATCCAGATAAGACTGAGGAAGTGGCTCCTGTTGTTTCTGGTTCGGGCAAGAGATCCACAACACAATGCTGTTCTGATGAAGCTACCTCATGAAATCGCCTCTGTGAACTGTGTGGGTTCTGTGTGTGCGTCATCGTACAGCCTCATCAGAGTCTGTTAAAATTTCTCACACCTGGACAGGTACACCAGCTGGTAAAGAGAGAGATACTCTCCCTGCGCATCTCAAAGTAGCCCAGGGAGTAGTTTTCATCTTTGCATTATCTTGGGGACATTTAAGAAACACTAAAATATTATTTCTGTGTGACTAGTAAGAAGAGATTTTCAATGCTGGGCACGGTGGCTCACGCCTATAATCTCAGCACTGTGGAAGGCTGAGGCGGGCGGATCACTTGAGCTCAGGAGTTCTAGACCAGCCTGGGCAACATGGTGAAACCCCATGTCTACAGTAGAAACGAAAATTGAATGTTCCTGGTAGTTCCCGCCTGTGGTCTCAGCTACTCCAGAGGCTAAGGTGGGAGGACTGCTTTACCCTGGGGAGTTCAAGGCTGCAGTGAGCCGTGATCATACCACTGCATTCCACCCTCGGCAATACAGCAAGAGCGTGTCTTGAAAATAAAGAAATAAATAAATAACAAAAATAAATACATTTTTAAAGGAAAAGAAAATGTTTTCAAGAGTTCTCAGATTGTCACGTCAAATTCACATGTGCTTATTATTATAACAGGTTGGGAGCCATACACAGCAAAAATAAAAGCAAAATTTTATTTTATATAAAAGTGTAGATGCTAATCTTATAGAGACAATCAAATTATTCACATAGTTTGGAACTATGGAAATTATGGCATCTTTATGGTGAGGGAAAATCTTCTTTGTATGCATTTCAAATGGATTACATCCATCCAAACTTTATAAAACACAATGTATATATATTACTTCTTTACAGTTTCTATTTACATAAAAAACTTGCATTAGGAATGTGTTTGGGAATTTTAGATATATTGAAAAATTGTAGCATCTGAAAAAGGAAAATAATATCTCATCGTGTTCTTCATTTTATTATTACCAAATATTTTAATTTTCAAACTGTTTAATTATTAATTTGCAGAAAAGGTATTAGTTTCCCTTTACTCTCCTTCCACCTTGCCACCCAGCCCTGCCCTCTGTATTTCTGGCAATCTAGATTAAACCTCCTGCATTTTTTGCTTTCTTAGGTCTTTTCTGTTTGTCCATTTGCCAAACCCTGGCGGCTTCTTTCAGAGCTCTGTTCTCCCACGACCTTCCTCTCCTTCACTTTCTCTGAAACTTCAAAGTTTGGCTGGTTCTCTTTTCTCTCAGATTGGCCTTCCTCTCCCTTTGCTGACTTTGAAATTTGTAAGGTAAATTAACTGAAGACTAATTTCCAAAAAGTAAACCACCCGTTTTAGGTGAACGGGTCCATGAGTCGTGAAAGTTATGTCACACATAACCATGAGTAACCCATAACCATGAGAGATTCAAACTCCACAGCTAACACACAAGCATTCCCAGCACACTGATAAGATCCTCTTGCTCCTCTGTGGTCAGCCCTCTCCCCCAGAGGGTGGCAGCTGGTTATCAGTGATATGATTTCCATCTCTGTAGCTTTGCCTTTCCCAGGTCATATTAATAGAATCATACAGTGTGCATGCAGCCTTTTGCAATGGCTTATTCCACGTTAGCATAACGCATTCAAGGTCCACCCACGCTGTTGCATGGATCCATAATCTATTCCTCTTTGTTCTGAGTAGTGCTCTATGGTATGAATATTAAACAATGTGGTTACCATTTGCATATTAATATTTGTGTTTGTTTTCCATTTATTAGCAAATATAAAGTTGCTGTAAATATTTATGTAAAAGTCTTCCTGTAGACATGTTTTCATTTATCTTGAGTAATTACCTAGGAAGACCTTGCAGGATTGTATAGTAGGTATATATTTTACTTTACAAGAATGACCCAAATGTTTGCCAACATGACCGTGCCACTCTGCGTTCCTATTAGGAATATGTAATATTGCATGAACTCTGCATCGGCAGCAGCACTTGTTGTTGTCATTTTTTTTGTTTTTGCTTTAAGCCATAGTAACTGGCACATAGGACAATCTCATTTTGCTTCTAGGTAACGTTTCTGTGGTGACTGGGGGGCGCTGAGCATCTTCTGATGTGCCTGTCATACAGCACATCCTGGGATGCAGAATAATGACCTCCCAAGGATGTCTAAGTCCTACTTCCTGGAAACTGTGAATATATTATTTAATGTGGTGGAGGGGAATCAAGGTAACAGATGGAATCACGGTTGCTAATAAGCTAACCTTAGAATAGAAAGATGATTTTGGAATAGCCAGATGGGCCCAATATAATCAGAGAGGGCTTTTAACATGGAAGAGGGAGGCAGAGTCAGTGTGAAAGTGAGTCAACATGATAAGGACTCAATCAGCAACTACTGGTTTGAAGAGGAAACAGCACAGGAGACAAGCAATGTGGGCAGCCTCTAGAAGCTGTGAGAGGCAAAAAGGTGAATTTTTACTAAGACCCTCCAGAACGGAACAGAATCCTGATAATACTTTGATTTTTGACCAATTTTGGACTTCTGACTTCTAAAACTGTAAAATAACAAATTTATGCTGTTTCAAACCAATAATATTGTGGTAACTTATTATATAAGCAACAGGAAAATAGTAAATAATCCATAACTGTAATTAAACAAAGTGTCCAAATATTTTTTATTTTAAAATGTGCTGTTTTCTTACTGAGATTTGAGAGTTCTTCATACAGTCAAGTCCTTCATCAGATATGTATTTTGCAAAAACGTTCTCACATTCTGTAGTCTATCTTTTCATTTTCTTAACGGTGTGTTTTGAAGAGCAGAACTTTATAATTTTGATGAAGTCTGATTTATCAAACTCCTATTTTAGTGCTCCTGCTTTTTGTGTGTTACCTAATTAAAAAAAAAGTTCTTTGCCTCAATTTGTGAAGCATTTATAAAATTTTTATGTAATTTTTATTCCTTTAGTTTATATATGTAAGAATATCAATCATTTTGAGTTAACTTTTGTGTATAATGTGAGATATAAGTAAATTTTTTAAACTTCTACATGTACAGGTCCAGTTATTACAGAATCCTTTGGTGAAAAGACTATTTTTTCTCCATTGTGTTACCTTGTCCCCTTTCTCAAATATTGTTCGGCCACATATATGTAGGCCTATTTGTGGACTCTATTTTGTTCCATAGATTATATCTATCTATCTATCATGTTTTCCAATACCACAGTCTTGATTACTGTAGCATGAAAAGAAATCTTGAAATCAGAGTGTGTTAGTGATCCAATTTAGTGCTTCTTTCTTAAAATTGTCTTGGCCATTCTAGATTCTCTGCTTTTCTGCAAACATTCGAGAGTGAATTTGTCCTTTTCTTCAAAATGCCTGCTGATATTTTGATTTGGATTGCATTGAATCCAGAGAACAATTTAGAAAAAAAAAAAGAAACTGATGTCTTAATAATATGAAGTACTCCAATTCATGAACATGATATACCCTCCTTTTATGTAGGTCTTTTTAAAATTTTCCTATATTAGTGTATTGTAGTTCAAAATTCAGATTTTTATATATTTTCTTGGATTGTCCCTGAGTACTTTATGTATTGGAACGCTATTGCATATGGGATTAAAAAAATACAAATTCTAATTTTCTTCAGTGATTGTTGGTTAAAGAAATTCAATGGATTTTTAAAATATTGACCTTAAATCACATGGCATTATTAAACTCTTTTGGTTTCAGTAACATTCTTGTATATTGCTTAGAATTTTTCTACATAGACTACGTCCTTTGTGAATAAAGATAATCTTATTTTATCCTTCCAATTTGTAAACCTTTTATAGCTTTTTCTAGCCTTAATGCACGGCTAAAACTGCTAATGGAATTGAATAGCAGTGGTTAGAGTGGCCATCTTTGCCTGGTTCACACATACGTCTTTGAAACAATTCTTTTACCTGCCATTGCATTTGTTAAAAATCTACAATATTTTCGACTCCATTTTTTAAGCTATAGCGATTCTACATGAAATACCTCATCTCTTATTTTGTAACATTAACACGTATTAATTTGACCTAATCTTATTCTACCTTGCACGTGTAGCTTTTAGCAGATATTGCCTCGTATCAAACTCAATGAGTTTTCTGAAGTTTAATCAACTGCACTGCCATGGATTTGAGTATAATAACTTCTGTTATGGCTTCTGATCCTTCCAACTTTGATAATGGGGCATTCCGTTGAAAAGCCCAAACCACAAACCCAAATCTCATCCACGTTTGTAGGCTTTTCCATTTTGTAACTTAGCTTTCTTGGATGATCACAGCACTGTCATTGGTAGGGGTTCTTGGGCTGCCTTGAACCCTCGTCTCTAGCCACTGCCACACACAGCACTCTAACTTGCTTTTGATGTTTTCCATTATTATTATTATTATTATTATTATTATTATTATTATTATTATTATTATTTGAGATGGAGTCTCGCTCTGTCACCCAGGCTGGAGTGCAGTGGCACGATCTCAGCTCACTGCAAGCTCCGCCTCCCTGGTTCACGCCATTCTCCTGCCTCAGCCTCCAGAGAAGCTGGGAATACAGGCGTCCGCCACCACGCCTGGCTAATTTTTTTGCATTTTTAGTAGAGATGGGGTTTCATCGTGTTAGCCAGGATGTTCTCGATTTCCTGACCTAGTGATCTCCCCGCGTCAGCCTCCCAAAAATAAAACATTACCAGTTTGCCTACAACCTCTCTCTAGATAGTTTTCCATTTCCAGTGTTCTCTTCCTTAATCCCTCAATGAAGTGCTCAACATTCTCCATGATTTCTTCTCTATATCTGTTATCCTCTCTCTACCATGTTTATCTCTGTATTTTCTATTAAATTCAGGTTGAATCTGTTTCCTCAGATCTCTGAAGCTTTATTTTATTCTCTTTTTCTAATTCATCTATTATTTCTGAACTAGTGTTAGCTTTATTTCTAATTTGGTTTCTTAGGTGTCTAATCTTCCTTTTAATCTCACTCATTTCCTTTGAAATATTACTTTCATCTTATATTTCACAGAATTTACACAGCTCTTAATTTTTACAGACTTATAAAGCTTTACTTCAGCTTTAAAAAATCTGCATTTGGCATGTGTTTTCTCCCTATTTCCTTCTTCGCTTCCTTTAGGGCTGGGATGTGAATACTTTGCCTTCTCTTGCTGTCTCTCTTGCTTTTAGTTCCCTTAATGGGACAGAGATGGGGGCTAGACATATTTACTACTGATTTTTACCTCTGTTATCGTTTATATTTATTCACTAAAAATCCTTACAAGAAGTTAGCTCTACCCAGAAGGTACACTCCAATTGGTAATTCCTCCAATCCGTATTTCTCGATGAGATTTTTGGTAATCATACAAATGATTTCTCCTCATTTGAGAAAATAGTTGTAGTTTTGTTTTTCTAGTTCCTGAGGAACAACTACTTGGAACTCAGGATGTGGACAACCGTATCTAGTCATCTTTCCTTTCTGCCTACCCACTTCTTCCAAATTGACACATATCAATGAGAATTTTCAGAGATTTTTTTACCCATCTCCAGAGAAGCACTCTGGAAGCATTAGGGTAGCTACTAAGTATTTCTGTTTAGAAACTTTTTTTAACCTTCCAACAAAGTTCTTAACATTTTATAGTATGAAGCTGTTGGTTTTTTGCTAACTTGAACATTTCTGCTGTTTCTTTTCTTAAACCCTCTTTACATAGTTTTATTCACCTTCTTAGGGTCAGAGGTAGGGGGTACTGCAAATATTTTTCTAGAAGGAGAATGATTTAAGTAGCAATATTTGGAAAGACATCCAAGAAGAATGGTTTCTTAGCCAAATCACAGAACTCCTCAGGTTTCTGGGCTTCTAGAACTGCTGAAAGGTGCAGAGCCCCAGTGTGCTATACTCCTTTATTTTTGAAAGTCATGAGTTTCATGTTTTATGAGGATTGGAGCTGCTGAGCTGAAGATCTATTAACACTAGTGAAGTGTTGCTCCAGAACAAATGAACTCAACCATCTGAACCCTGCTAGGAGAAACTCTGTAGAAAGGGAAGCTGGTTTGGTGCCCCCACGTCCACAAGTGTAAGATAGGGCAAACTTTCTGATTAGGGTAGGGTTAGAAATATAGTTTTTCATCTCCTACACTCACATTAATTTTTGCAAACTAAAGTCCCTCCATGTATATTTCTGCTATGCCTTCTCTCATGTTCTTTGTGTGGATAATGTAGAAGAGGCATGGCCTTTAGTCTCCTGGAAGCTCTCATTTGCCTCTTTTGATGGTTTTTGTGGCCTTGGCCCTAGGGAATAGCTGACTTTGTCTTATTTATGACCGTGTCAAGATTGTGGCTAATAATGAAATACATGTTCTCCTAATAAGTGAAGTCATGGGAAAGAAAATGTGTGTTTTGGATAGTCAAGGAGCAAACATGTGTGTCCTGTGAGCTAGATACGTGGTGGTCTTTTAACTACTCCCACTTGAATTCATTATTATAATTAAAAGTGCTAACTGCAAGGGATACTGTGTCTTATATTCTGATCGTTACCCTTAATATAAAAATAAAGCACATCTTTGCTATAGGCAGTTCTGTATGACATGCATTTTGATAATATCACTATGCAAATGTTACCTGCTATAATATAAAATGTTCATCCAAATATTACTATGATAGGTTTGATAGGATTCACGTCTCTTAAGGCAGACCAGAAAAAAATAGTTGGCTCTAAGTGGTTGAGAAATACAAGTACACAAAAATTTATAATATAAAGAAAAAAATAATTTGTTTCATGTGCTCAGATGAAAGTCATACTCTTTTCTTAGAAGAGCAAAAGAACGTGTTTGTGTTTGGTGGTGGCATGTTTTGATGGGGGTACTTTAACAAGGAAATTTTAGTGACAAGGATAGCTTTATTAATTGAGCAGTCATATAACAAACAGTCATATGACATCCATGCTATCTCCTGACTACAGCTTTATCAAGAAGCTCCTTAAGCTTGCCTACATTGGCTGCTGTTTTATCCACTAATAATTCTCAACACAGTCATTGCAAATATTACAAAGCAGAACCCTGCTGGTTTGAATCTGTGGCTTGAAAAACTAGCTGCATTTGCACTCAGTATTCTCTCTTCAAATCCTGCGGCATGATTTATGTACCTATGATGCTTAGTATTCCATTCCTCTTAGTAGTTTCCTTTCAAGATGAAGTATTCAATCCTTTTACCATTGAAGTCATTAGATAATTTCTTGGTGACTATTAGGGCAGGTTACTGAATGGGCCCTAGGGAAACGCTAACATGGCAATTCTTTATTCTTGTTTTTTAAACCTAATTGATGCTGTTTATCTACTTAAAAAAAATTACAGACCCAAGTCTGTTTGTGTAATCAACTAGAAACTCTTCATGAGGAGAAAAATTAACATTTGGCAGACAAGTTTATTGTGATAATTCTGGAAGCACGACAGAAAAGCCACTGTTCTGGAATAATAGCAGTGATGTCGGCAAAGTGTGACTGGCCAGCTTCCAAATAAGCATCACTTTTTCCTCTCCACGTGAATTCACCAGACACTTTGAATAGTCTCAAACAACGTTATCTTCAACAGTTCCTCTCTCAGCACAGAGAGCTTCAACTAAAACGTTTTAAAATGGAACTGTTTTCATGATTCAGTTTATAGATTTATTTTTTCTTACCTCAAAATATGGGTCAGAAAGTATTGCTTGTGTGTGTGTGTGTGCTTGTGTGTGTGTGCTTGCACGCTCACAAGCATGCCTGCTTTCCTCCAGGAGGCTCTCAGCCTGAAGGAGCCAGCGAAAAACTTACGTTTGAGGAGTTTCATTTATGCTTCATCTTTTTAAATTATCTTAAAAACGAGAAGATAGAAACCCTCCACTAAGTTGCCAAGCATGCCAGTGGAGTGGGTCAGCTTTCTCAGTAGGGAGCAGCACCTCGCCGAGGTAGGCAGTGTTTTGCTTTCTCAGAACATCCAGCATGGTTTGGGTGGCTTACTGAGAGCATGACAGTGATGACACCAAGGCAGTCCTGTACCTTTTGTTGAAAGATAGAGTTTCCTTTAAGAATTCGGCTTTCTACAGTGACAGGACCTGGTCACTGATCTTCCCATTGCATGAGGCTCTCACACAGTGAAATACCTGCTGGCTTCCATTTGCCAAGTGTCCTGGAACCTCAGGAAGAGAGGACAATGGCAGCTGCAGAGAAGGTTATATGTGCACAGGTCACAGGACACATATCAGGAAGCTTTTGATCTCTTGTGCTCTCCCAAATGAAAACTTCTCTAGAACTTCATTTCTCAACCTAGGGTAAAAGGTGAGATGGGTTGGATGCTGACTTGAAGTAACTGTAAAGAGACTTAGAGCCTGTTCACATTCTCACACTTTGAAGTATGGGCAGAAAATATTTGTAGTGTATGTAAAATAACCCATTTTCTCAATGAGAAAAGAGGGAGAATAATTCCTTTTATATTACTGATGAAAAAAAGCTTTAATAAGGATCTTTGGTGAAATATGCACCTATAATGTAAACAACCAATCACAGAAAGTGTAAGACTATTGCTGATTCCCTACTGTAAATAAAATGTGCTACGTATGCAGAAAAATTAAAAAGAATAAAATAACAAATAATGCCAGGTGCTTGAAAAAGTTTTGGGAGAAAGGGGAGAAAGGAAGTAAGACTGCGCACACACATGCACACATGGTGACACAACACACGCACTCTCATACAGTGACATACCCAGTCACATGCATACATGGTGACATGACACACATACTTACACTCACATGCATGGTAACAAAACACACACACACACTCCCGTATGTAGTGACGTACACATATGCATGCATACATGGTAACATGGAGCACACCGAAACATGAGACAACAAACACATTCACAAACATGGCGACATACACATGCATACATGGTGACACGGCACACATACATAACACACACGTTTCCATAGTGGCATACACATATGCATGCATACATGGTGACATGGCACACACGCACACGGTGACACAACACACACACAAACATGCTGACATGGCACACACACACAAGGTGAAACAACACACAAGCATGGTGACATGGCACACACACATCTGTAGCAAACTGAGGACATTGAGGGGAAAAAGGGATTCTATGGAAGGAAAAAGAAAGAAAGAAAAGACATTTATCAGGTACAATGTTAAAATTTATGCCAAATGTTTATTTAAAAAAACTTTTTGTAAGAGTCCCTTATGAATTCTCATGAAAAAGTCACAAAAACTATTAAAACGCATAAAATGCAAGACCCAAAGACTCCAGGGCAAAGTTAGTTTTACAGATCATCCTTTGAAAGGGTTTAGCATGCTGTCTATAGGTGACCTGCTGCCATCTGTAAGGATTATCCTCCTTTCCAACCTAGGGCCCAGAGGTGTTGAGGCACACTTGATATCATTGGCCACATTATCTAAAACCTCAGGAAATGATTGCTATGTGTTTTGTTGGAAGAGTTTCCTACAAAACAGCTCTCAGTTAGTTCCCCTTTAATATCTAGCACCTACTTTCTACCTTGTGCTTGGGGGAAACTCTGGGGGCAATTCACAGACTACCTCTATTCTAGGAATCATGCTTTGTGGTTCTAGTCCTCATTTACATCAACTCTGCTAATGCTTCCTCAACATTTTCCCCCAAGAAAACCCACAGCTGGTCAATTAAATCTTGACGACATAATGCTAAGTGTAAGAAGCCAGTCACAAAAGGTCACACATTGTATGATTAAGTTTGTATGAAGTGTTCAGAATACATATATCCACAGAGACTAAAAGCAATTGAGTGCTTGCCAGGGACTGCCCGTGATGGAAGTGAGGGGCTGGGGAATGGTAATGATTGCTGAAAGATACAGGGTTTGGGAGGATAGATAAAAAGCCCTAAAATTAATAAAGGAGGTGATTGCACACCTCTGTGAATATATTAAAAACCATCGAATTGTGCACTATACAGAGGCAAATCTTACGGTATGAGAAGTATATCTCAATAAAGCTATTATTAAAATTCTAAATGGAGACTTTCTCACTTATATGCATTATTCTCTTTATATAAACCAGATTCAAACATTGGCCATCTCACAGCAGATGTCCACTGGAACCATAGATGAGGTGGGAAAATCGATCTAATGGTCAGACCTCAAAATTTTGGCCATACAATTATTTGTTCACTGGAGGGGTTGGACCTAGTGGTCCTGAGTTGAAAAAAGCGGGAGGTTATGTTGAGTCTGGCATGTGCAGGGCACAGGGATGGACCTGGATTGAGGCTGAAAAAAATGCTAAGGAAGGTAAACGCAAGTGGAAATAGATAGGTTGATGCCAGGATAGGTTGAAAAAAAGTTCTGAAGAAGGTAAAGGCAAGTGGAAACAGGTAGGGTGATGCCAGGATGGGAAGGTCTCAAACACCTGGCAGAGGAGGCTGTGTGTATAAATGCTCAAAGGGAATGAGGGAACAGTACGTACTCAGTAAAATCAGCAGGAGAGGAGCAACTTGACCATAATAGTATTGAACAAAGATGTACCACTAACCGTTCTGGTACTTGAAGCTTTGGTGCAAATCAGGAACACCAAGGAGACAAATAATAGTGTTTGGTAAAACAAACAAAACAGAACAACAATAACAACAACAAAAACAAACCCTAATATATGGAATGTAGAAGAGAGTAGTGCAAATACATATAGAAGAAAATGCAAGGTTTCCTGGCCTAGAGTATCAGCATGCTATAGATTGAATCGTGTCCCCCTCCAAAATTCATGTGTTAAAGTGCTAAGCCCCCAATGTGATATCTGGAGGTGGGGCATTTAGGAGGTGATTAGCTTTACATGACGTTAGAAGGTGGAGACTCTCATGATGGCATTAGTCCCTTTATAAGAAGAGATGCTAGAGAGGCTGCTTCCTCATTCTCCTCCATGAGAGGACACGGTGAGGAGGCAGCTGTCTCCAAACCAAGAAGAGAGCCTTCCCCAGGGAACTAAACTGGCTGCACCTTAGTGTTGGACGCACAGGGCTCCAGAACTGCGAGGAATAAATTCTTGTTGTTTAAGCCACCCAATCCATGGTATTTTGTTATGGCAGCCTGAGCTGACTAACACATAACATTTATATAGTTTCAGTTTTTTCTTTAGTTTTAAACCTTAGAACCTAACCTGTTCTAGTGAACAATTCTTTTTCCAATACTTATACACCATGCAGTATTTAAAACACTTAAAACTTTCACTTCTTATCTCTGAAGGGGCATTGTTGGAGCCTAAAGAGAGTTATCAACATCAAAAGTTATTTGTAAAATAAATGAGTGTAGAGAAATGTTTGACATTTGAAAAATACAGGGCAAAACCTTAAGTTTATCATTTCTGAGCTGGCTGACTGTTTTTGTCATATTTAACTTTGCTGAGCCTCAGGATTGTAAGAACATTAAATAAAGAACAATACACGGATAACAAGTCATAAATCAAACCAGAATCAAGACTGTAATGGAGGGACAAGTTCTGAGAATGGTTTGATATTTCAATGTAGAGACAATAAAGGCCTAAGTTGAGGTGGTAGTAGCAGCAGTGATTACAATGAGGACAGAATAAACATAAAAAAAGTAAGCAGGATATCTTTCTGGCAATCTCAAAATTGAGCTGTTTAAGTAAAAATCCAAGAGTTATATTTGGTATTTTTTTTGCATATTTTCCCTATTCATCTGTACTCCCTTACATTGCATTCTACTTGTCAACAGTAAGCCTGTGTTTACATTCAGGTACTCTGTTTTCTTTGAACGAAAGCCAAAGGTACTCTAATCATCACATTTATGCAGTGTAGTAAGGTGCCTAATTGTTTCCTAAACAAAAAGTATCTAAACTATCATACTAGTAGAAAAAGAGAAAAATAAACGTTAAGCCTGGATTGAATGATTTGTTTTATGGATGTGTCTGCCTTTTATAGATAATAGCAATTCTTCACATTTGCTTTACATTTGGCCTTGCAGTTTTTGAAGCAAATTATTCACTTTTATCCTTTCAACAGTCCTAGAAAGTAGAAAGAGAAGCGATGATCCCCCATATTGCTGAGTGGTAATTACACAATTCTGCTATGCATAAGATGTTTTGTCATATAAACAGACATGTTTTCTATATTATCAAGGTCATAGACCCTGACCTAGGCATTGAATAGTTTTGTGGTACTTGGGATTGAAGATTCTTTAGAGTTGCTCTTCTCCTTTGCTTATGACACCCTCCCTCTATATATTAAGATAAATTAGCCATGTTTCTCATTCCCTGCCAAACACTGAAACAGAAGCTCCTGTATCCATCTGCCCTGAACTGCACCACTGCCCTAATATTAGCTATGTCCTTGACTTTGACTTCCCCATCCACCCCTCAACCACTTCTGGGAGCCTCTGCAGCTGCTGGAGTATGTCTTCATTCCTATCTTCAACTCTCCTTCAACTTATCACAGGTCCTGCTAATTTTGCCTTCCGAATATATCTCATAATTTCCTGTTGGTCTACATCATCACTAGCACCAGTTTAGCACAAGCTACCAGCTACCACGGCACCCTTTAACGGACTTCTTATCTCCATTCTCCTTTCGCACCTGCAGCAATCTGTTTTCCAAGTTACAAAGGAAAAAAGAACAATTTTATTATAGCCTATGTAGCGTATCAATGTCACGTCATAGTTTGTGTTTCTAGATCTCTCCCCCAGCCCTCCTGCCCTTAGTTTGTTCTTAGCCCACCAAAGCTTTTCTTTGTTCTCTTCAGCGAGTTGCTCATTTTATAAAATGGCTTTGAATGTTTTGTTCTTCTGTCCTGGAATTTTATATATTGAGAGAGAGATATACATATTTTATATATAGAGAGAGATTTTAGATATACAGGAATTTTATATACATAGAGAGAGATGATATATATAGAGAAATTATATATATCTATCATATATAATATATATTATATATTTTATATATATATAAAATTTTATATAGAATTTTACATAGAATTTTATATAGAGAGAATTATATATATAGAATTATATATAGAGATATGATATATATAGGGATATATATTATAATATCTATCATATATACATATATAATATATATGATACATAAAATAATATATACATTATATCTCTATCGGATTTTATCATTTATATGGTCAGGTAACTATACATAATAGTTCTTAAGTTACTGTAGAAATAATGCTCAGGGAATTTTAGAAATAATTCTACTTTGTTGAAGGAATCCAACAATGTAGTTAGAAATTAAAGTGAAGAAAGAAATTACAATATACAATTAGTTTATCATTATAAACATGTGCTACCTATTTATTTATCTTGGATAATGGGACAGAGTTTCAACATAAGGCATTTGAATTAGAGACAGATTCTCTCTCTCTCTCTCGTTCTCTCTCCAACCTTGTTTCAACACACTACAATTTATATAGTTATTCTCTAATCATTTTTATATGTTCAAGCCAGAAGAAATTTTCCAGTGAAGGATTTCCTTATAATCTGCACTACATCAAGAATACTCACTTTGATGCTTTCATAGTGCCTAAGTAATTTTTCTTTATAGCATTTATCACTGCTGCATTTTTATATTTCTTTATGTAATCATTAATTAATCTCTCTGACTAATTGTGAATTTCATGAGTTCTACTTTGACTCACCGTTAGATGCAGAAAACCCATTAGAGTTCTTGGCAGGCAACAGATGCTCATCAAATACTTGTGAGCAAAAAGGAGAATGGAAAACAGAAGGTAATGTAAAAATGACAAAAGAAGAACAAAAAGGAGGCAAGGATGGAGGAGAAACGAAGCTGAAGAATGTCTTTAAAATGAAGTATTAACACATCTGAATGCTGTAAAGTGTGACATTTAATGAACTATATATTGATTCCGTAGGTATAAAACACTAGAAAAAAAATGAAATAGACATAAAGCCTGCCTTCCATGGTTTGATGTCAGAGACAGTGATAAACAAACAAATATAAAACCAAATGGGAACTATTTTAGTAACAGCACACATGGACACACACCCACATATGAATTAAAGGAACTCTCTTATCAAGCTGGAAGGAGCAAAACAGTCTAAAAAGAATTTTTCTTTTTTTTTTGGCCACTTCTGTAATCCCAGTGCTTTAGGAGGCTGAGGCGTGTAGATCACATGAGGCCGGGAGTTCGAGGTCAGCCTGGCCAACCTGGTGAAACCCTGTCTCTAATGAAAATACAAAAATTAGCCAGGTGTGGTGGCACGCACCTGTAGTCCCAACTACTTGGGAGGGTGAGGCATGAGAATAACCTGAACCCAAGAGGTGGAGGTTGCAGTGAGCCAAGATCATGTGACTGCATTCCAGCCTGGGCAACAGAGCAAGACTCTGTCTCAACAACAAAAAAAAAGAATTTGTTAACAAAACTAAAAACTATCACATTTTTATTATCATTTATATGGCCAGGTAACTACACATGATAGTTCTTGAGTTACTGTAGAATTAATGTTCAGTGAATTTCAGCAATAATTCTGCTTTTTGATGGAATCTAACATTATATTCAGAAATTAAGTGAAGAAATAAATTACAATATGCATTTACATTACTACTAAAAACATGTGCTACCTATTTATTTATCAGGGAAATGGATACCTTTCAACAGAAGGCATCCAAATAAGATAAAAATGTCTTCAAGGACCCTGTTGTTAAACACATGTGCTAATTTCAAAATAAATATCTACAGGAAAGTTGTCTCTCGTCTTACCTTTGAGCAAGTTACCTTTAACCTGTATGTAGCAAGGGTGTGGTTTTTGCTATCAATGTTTCCTCAGTCACTGCCCAGTAACTGAAATTCTGTCATTGTAAAAAGTTTACAAACAGTAATATTTGACAAACAAATAGATTGTACTTAACTACATAAACCAAACCAGCCAACCTTACCAGCTATGCTAAGAGTTGTGTGCTGCCGACTCTCAACCTCACCCACAGAACAACAGGGACCTGCCCAAGATGGTTCATTGTTTGCCCAGATCACAGTGAGGTTCGTGACTCTATTCCTCCCTCAGGTAGCCTCACATCTGGTCATCTGCGCAAGTTTCTTTTTCTGTCAATGTACTTTCCCTTCTTGATATGGCCAAGATCAACCACAACGCAAGTTCTATTGAATCTGGCTCTGGGAGCTGTCTTTGCAGGGCTTTCCCTGGACACATGGCACTGTTGCTTTCCTGAGTCCAGCTGCTGACGTGAACACCCGAGAAGGTAGCTTGACCTTACTCTGCAGATGCATGAAGGGCGAAGTTGACACCTTCTGCCCATTTTTGATAAACAATGAAATATTAAACATTTTTTAACTTTGTTGAAATTTAAAATGGATGTGCCTAACAACGAATTAAAATAATAATTAAAGTAGTAATTCCGCCCTGTTTATTTTTAGACTAGTCATCCTCACTCCCTCTATATACCTATCACTATTCTAGAATTTCATGAGTCTAGACTTCGCTTCTGGCATTGGCCCCAAAATGCCAAATTTGAGGAGCACAGATAATTTTTTTCACACTATGAAAACTGCAATAAGTTCTCTTAATCATCGTCCTTCTTTAATGATAATGTATCTACAAAAGATAATATCTTACTAGGAAGTTAGGAGGATCAAACAACATAACTATCTACAAGAACCCAGACACTCAGTGGATTTTTGCTGGATTTGAAATTTATTAGTTTCTGTAACTACTTATTTCTTTAAATGAAGCTTTATGCTAAGTAATATGTGTATAAATATTATAAAATGCATAATTATTTTAAATGTTTATTTAAATATGTAATAGATTAAATATGTAAAATATATACAATGCATAATAAATGCAATAGAAATGCTCATTTAATTTTAAAAATAGATTGCTGTTTCCCAAATTAATTGCAAGTTTTTATTAACAGGGCAGATTTAGAACCATATTTCTAGAATATTAGCGATAACAGCTTGTAATTTGTTTTAGTACTCTTCAAGTACTTTAATCTTAGCAATGTATGCAAATGATGTGAATAAAACAATATGACATTAACATGATTTAAATATATTTCACAAATCATAGATACCTTGCACAGTATTTGGTAAAAGGACAACTATGAATATACACAGCAGTGTATGTAGAATCAGACCTGTTCTTAGGAATTTCTTCAGATCTAATTGTGTTCTGCAAAAATGCATGCTGTGCTTCTGGACATTCCGCTGATTTTCAAAAATACATGTTATGTTATCACTAATATTTTACAAGGAAAATTCGACCGAAAAAGTAATATGAATCAAAAATCTGAAAGCACCGGGTCACTTAATTCAACCTCGTATCTTTCCCTACTAATGTTACTGTTCAATACAAGTGCACTTTCTGGTGAATTTCCTTCACCCTTTGAAACTACATTGAGTGACGTACCATGTTCTCATCATCGTACCTTCACACTTGATGACACTGGGCAGATGCATTAAATTATAGAGAGGGAGGAAGGAGAAATGGAAATTGGAACTGCTGATGGTGAGCCAGCTTGATAGGGGGCCACCACATTCTAAGATAGTTTTTGTGTTTGTTTTTGTGACAGAGTCTTCCTCTGTTGCCAGGCTGGAGTGCAGTGGCATGATCTTGGCTCACTGCAACCTCTGCCTCCCAGGTTCAAGTGACTCTCCCGCCTCAGCCTCCCGAGTAGCTGGGATTACAGGTGAGGCCCACCACACCCAGCTATTTTTTGTATTTTTAGTAGAGACGAGGTTTCACCATGTTGGCCAGGATGGTCTTGATCTCTTGACTTCAGGTGATCCACCCGCCTTGGCCTCCCAAAGTGTTGGGATTATAAGTGTGAGCCACTGTACCCAACCCTAAGATAGTTTTCAATGTGATATGATAAGCACACACACACACACACAAACCCCTAATCTATCTATATTGATGTGTGTGTGTGTGTGTGTGTGTGTGAGAGAGAGAGAGAGAGAGAGAGAGAGAATGAGAAAGTCATGCAACCTCTGGAAACCTCCTTGTTTTTTAAATTCAGAAAAATTAACTTGCATTATGGCTACGTAATGAAAAATAATTAATGTCTCTCCTGATTAACGAAGATGAAAGCAAACAATTTTTGACATAGGCATGAATGGCCAACAATACTTCTTGAGAAGGTAATCTATTTTTGGCAATTGCATTTTCTGTAGGAAATGAGAGAGGTCATTTGAAAATAAGACCCTAGATATCGATATGAATAAATCCAGTCTGCTTGGCTTTTAACTTCTACTTTGTATCGTTACATTTGAAAAGAGGTAGTACAATATCTGATATAAGTGGTGTTGAAACCACCAATATGGTTTGCTAATTTCAGTGGGCATTCTTGCTGTCTCTTCAGTATCTATTTCCCTCTTTCCATCATCTTTACAAAACCCCAGCTTTTCCAGTCACTGGACTTTGGTGAAATGAAACCACAAATGGTGAGCACAAATGATGTCTCAATACGTTGTTAGGTAAGCCAAGATCTTTCCTTTGTTGTTTACGCCAATGTTAGTTGTGCTTTCTGGTGCTTGCTATTGAAAATACGACGAGTGGAACTCGAGCCTGGTAAATATTACTCTGTGGCTTCACTATGTGCTTGGTTGCTGGCACGTCAATCCTGCTCTCATACATCCCCCCTTTTCCTCATACAAAATAACCCGACTTTAAGGCAGAATTAACAAAAAAGAAGCCTAGACCTATTGTGAAAAATTAGCATCCTCTGAAAAGATAAAGAGGTATTTACCCCATGTTATCTAAATAATTTTAAGAAAGTCATAAAACCTCTGATAACCTCCATTTTCTCCTCCGTAAGGTGAGGAAGGTAACTCTGCAGAAAAAAATGCTCAGAACAAATGTTCAGAGTAAGCCCTACCTCGTGCTTGGTCACTAGGAAGTGTTGATTTATTTTCTTTGCTTTCTTGTGTTTCTGTGGAAAGCGTTATTAATACGCTTGAAAGGTTTATGTCATTTTATTGGATAAATTTGTTGTTGTTATTTTGAGACAGGGTCTCACTCTGTCACCCAGGCTGAAGTGCTGTGGGGTGATCTCAGCTCACTGCAACCTCCGCCTCCTGGGCTCAAGCAATTCTCATGCCTCAGCCTCCCAAGTATCTGGATAACTGGGACTACAGGCACACACCACCATGCCTGGCTAAATTTTTGAATTGTTTTTGTAGAGATGGGATTTCACTATGTTGCCCAGGCTGGTCTCAAACTCCTGGGGCTAAAGCAATCCACCTGCCTTAGCCTCCCAAAGTTCTAGGAATACAAGCACAAGCCACTGTGCTTAGACTGAAAAATGCTTTTTTTGATTAGTCAGAATGCTGTATTTAAATTACTTGTTGTGTATCTGTGTCCTCAGGTATGCATTTAGTAATTTTCAAATTTCGATGATTTGCTATGAATTTTTTTTCATAGGAATAATATTTCTATATGAAAAATAGAATAATATGAAAGATACAGGAAAAAGAATGTTTTTCATTAGCATCAGAAAAAAATCCAATTAGAACAGTTGTTTTAAAAACAGATAAGATAATACATAAATGTATGATGCAGTCTGAACACTCTAAGGACATAGGCTTCTTAAAGGTATTTATTTGTAATTTTGGATTTTAGGATATTACAGATCACAATAGTGTACAGCTTCTTACCTTGGAAAAATGATACTCTAATTCTATATTATTTGTCCAATATTACGTTGCTGTCTTAGCTTGAAAAAATAGTTTAAATCCTTCAGTAAGTATATACGAAGCAACATTATATATAAGAATATGATTTCACATTAAACTAAATACACTGAAATGTTTTTATCCAAAGACTACTAAATAGTGACTACATATTTTCTTAATATTTTAATAACTTTGGAACATTTTTAGAGAAATGTTTCTCTCATTTCTTTAGGAGCAATAAGTATCTTCATATATATATATATATATATATATATATATATATATATAGTCACACATAAACACATCCAAATTATCTCACTTCTTGTGAAATATAAGTATTAGAATAGTCCAATGTCATTGTGGCATAGAATTTAGAAATTAAGAGAAGTTTCAATTTGTACTATTATTTACATGTAACTTATGAATTAGTATGGTCAGTTCTGATCTGTTAATGTTTTTACAAATTTTACTTATTCTAAGGGTAATATGTTCATGAAACAACTTAGTATTACCATGAAGAGTCTAATGATCTCAATTTCCTTTTCAGAAAGATATGTTAAAAGTAATTAAGATAAAAAGAAAAGCAAAATCCAAAGTACATTTAATAGTAAATGCATTTCCAACTAGGTACACAGGCCCATTTGGAGTGGTTCTCCAAGCCGAAACCCTCTTGCTCTCCTTTTCTGAGACCTGTCCTTACATTTACACACTCATTATATCCTGAAGGACACACTTGATTAAGGGAAGTCTATCAGACTCCACTCCTGCACAAGTAGAGTGGACAACAGGGGAGGCTATCCCATCTCTGTAAGGGATTGTGCCAGGACAGTAAATTAGCACCTAGAGGCACGTTCTATTGTGAATCACTGTTGGTAGTGGAGCCAGAAAACCTTTCATCAGACAGTTGAGGAAATGACGAGGAACCTCGCAGAGAAGGCGGCCCTGGAGTGTGGGGACTCCCAGCCAGTCCAGTGGCTCTGTTTCCTTGGGGTCCCACCAGGGGTCCTGATTTACTGGTAGTAAATTTCCCATTTTTGCACAATTAGCTCAGACATACATCTATGAAACTTTTCTAGGCACTAAGGCTACAAGAAAAAATGGCAGTAAAAATAAGAACAAGTAGACAATTACTCCTTGGAATATGAATCTGTTCATTTGGATCACTAATTGTCAAGAACTTTATAGGAAAGGACTAATTAGATATGTGAGCAGCATGTCATATACAAGAAGAGTTTTTAATCAAAAGATATTTATCACAGTGAAATCTGAGAAAATATTCAGTATCACTGACTGAGTATTGCTCAAGTGAATGGTTGTACATCAGTATGATGGCATTTTACAATTTTTGTAAGTTTAGAAGAACATTTAAAAATCCAGGGAATTTTGTACAAGTGAAAAAGCATATTACATAAAATGATAATGATTTCATATACACACGTCAATAGACAAGGAATGCAAAAACCTTAAATACCATAAGGTTATTTATGAATAAGGACACGAGAAGTTCAGTGGATTTTCTTCTTTATACTTCGGACAACTTTCTACAATAAGTGTGCATTGATTTTTAATCGTGCAAAAAATAGGAGCGCAGACTTGGTAAAAATCGGTTTTCTGTTTGTCCAACAACATATAACCTACCTTCTTGATTCTCAAAATGAACTCTATGAAGAAACTTACTCATCAAATTTCAATACTTTCCAAACCTTAAAGCTCGCATCTTGCTTTTTGAAATGGATAATTTTTTGGTTTGTTTTGAGACGGGGTCTTGCTGGATCACCCCGGCTGGAGAGAGATTTACTTTCAAATAAATCTCTGTTTTCAAAAAAACATAGAGATTTTCAAATCTAGGCTTTGCCACTTTCATACTGGGTGCTTTGGCCCTGTTAGCCTGTCTGAACCCTCTTTTGAAAATTAGGAATGATATTAATTGAATGTAAGGATTATAAGGCAATTAAGTGAAATAATACATGTGAAACATCATACATACGCTTTCCCTGTCTCAGGGAATGAAGGATAGCTGTAAAAATATTTTGAACTATAAATAATTAATCATAAATTTCAACTGATTTGATTTTGCAATTTTAATTATTGAGAACAGTAAGTAAAAAAGAGATAGCTTATTCATGTTAAAGAATATAATAGACAAACCTGTGCTACTCTTTCTTCTTCTACTAATCAATCACTTACTCAACAAAACTGTAAAATTCACTAATAATCTTGCCTTTTACATTTGCTCCCAATTGCTGAAATGGAAGCCTATTTTAATGATAGTAAGAAAAAAAGTGACACTAACATAGAACAACGGGACTCAGAAATCAAATATAGCAGCTTCCAACATGATTCTTCTGACCCTTACCCAGTTATCGAGCAACTCCAACATATTTACTGCCTTCTATTATTATGAAGATTCAACTCATAAAGGCAATGGAAATAATCATTGTATGTTGTAAACAAACATAATGGACAAGAAAGGGCACAAGGAATCTCAAATGAGAATAATGGCCGTAAACAAAGTGCTGCATGGGAGAAAATAAACACAAGTACAGGTCTACTTACCACATGCATCATATCAAAAACTTAATCATGGCCAGGCGTGTTGGCTCATGCCTGTAATCCCAGCACTTTGGGAGGCTGAGGCAGGCAGATCACCTTAGGTCAGGAGTTCGAGACCAGCCTGGCCAACATGGCAAAACCCCATCTCTACTAAAAATACAAAATACTAGCTGAGTGTGGTGGCACGTGCCTGTAATCCCAGCTACCCGGGAGGCTGAGGCAGGAGAATCGCTTAGAACTCAGGAGGCGGAGGTTGCAGTGAGTCGAGATCACACCACTGCACTGCAGCCTGGGTGACAGAATGAGACTCCTTCTTTAAAAGAAAAAAAGAAAGAAAGAAAGAAAGAAAGAAAAACGTAAGCACACCATCACACCATGTACTTCACAGAGAAACTTCACAGGAAACAAAATCAATTAAATTTGAAAATTGAGTACAAGGAAGTGAAACGGTAAAATAAATTCTGAACATTCTTTTTAAGAAATTACGTTTCAAATCTGTTGGTGAGAAAAAAATATTTATTAGGTCGGTGCAAAAGTAATTGGAGTTTTTGCCATTACTTTCAATTTGCCATGACTCATATTTATAGGTTTGCTAAAAGAGAGGTTGATTTCCCTTTGGGCCATGGCCACCTTGATTCTCAAAATGAACTCTATGAAGAAACTTACTGGATCATCTTTAAAAGCACTGACGTTGTTATAAACACAAATAAAAACGGCAAAGACTGCTGATTTTAAAACCTTATTTTCTCAATTTAATTCCACAGTTGTTTTATGAAGGGAGGTAATTGGCAGTTTTATCTTGTCTTGGATGACTCTGGTTGTGTCATTCACTTTTTCGTTACAGAAGCTGTGTCAGAAAATTTGAGATGCCAAATTATGTGCTATTCCCTACACTCAAGAAGAGAAGCAGTGCAAGGAACGTACCCTTCTTTCACCTTTGGAGTTAGTAAGGCTTTTCTTTCGGAGCTGTCTTGGATTTTCCTCTTGCCAAGCACGAGAGTGAAGGAATGCTTTCTTTTCAACGGCCCATTAAAACGAACATATATGCAATCATGCCATTCCTGATTGATTGGATTCAGGACACCCTAACCCTAAATATGGCACTCTGACATTTGAGAAAACTGCAGAGGCAGGAAGGCCACTGTCACCTGCCCTTGCTCTTCTCCCCCGATGTAGGCCATAAGTAGGCCTTGTGCGAGAGGGGGCCTCCCCATACCTAGAGAAAAGAAATAACCTGTCTCTGAAAACACGGGAGCACAGCGAAGAACCTGAGCAAACAGCCCCTGCTACATCCCTGCTGATTTATAAGCATTAGATCACAAGTCCTTCGTCCAGTCTCACGTCCCGACGTCTGGCTACCTCTTCATCAAAGCCATAAGTGAAATATACAAGTTGACCTGTTGCTCTGGGTTTTCATTTCCTTACGAAGGCTCATATTACATAAATTTGTAGGCTTTTAACTATTTTGTCATGGGGGCCTCAGCCATGAACCTAAGATCAGAAGAAAAGATCCTTCTCCTTCGCTTCAGAGACCCATTTGAAAGGTTAGAACCATGAAAGCCTCAAGATGCAATGAGCTGCAGGGAGAGAAGGAAGGAGGCAAACCCTGAGCAGGCGATGGCCCAAGACCAGACAGAGGTGGATTTCCTGGTGCTGGAAGAATGGAGACGCACTTGGAAGTGGAGGAGACACGTCTCCAGTCCTGAACGGCACACAGGGAGGTGGCAAGACCACTCATGATGCTGGCACATGGCACCAGCCAGCGAACTCCATGCACCCATGGCAGATGTCTTCTGAGGCTGAGCTTCAGGCGAGCCGGCCCCTGTGCAGGCTAACTCTGTGGTCGATAAAAGCTGCCATAGCACACAGACCATGGGCCAGGGAAGAGCACCGCTGCCAGCCAGAGAGGCAGGGGTCTTAGTGTGAGCATCAGAGCCAAGGAAGAGGCTTTCTGATGACTGCATCTCCAGGCCCCTGGTAGCCACAGGATGCTGGCACTATCAGATGAAGGAGGACAAGGAGCCTTACTGAGGACAGAGGATGATGTGTGAAGACAGATGCATAGATGGAGAAGAGCCAGATCGAACAGGACTAAAGTACATTAAGTAACGTGATATAGCTTACAAATGTCATAAAAATACGTACTAGAGTGGAAAGAAAATGAAAAACTTTCAATGTTGATAATTTAGTCAACACTAAGTCCACCTGATCAATTTAGAAGCAAATTGTAGAAGAGATGCCAGAAGACACGATCTCTGGGAAGGTTTCTTGGTTTATTTGGGAAATAAGAAATTGCAGAAATTTTATAGGAGCATCACAAGAATTTAACAAGAAAGGTAGTTACTCTGTATTTTCCCGGTGAATTATGAAGTGTTACTCACAGCTAAATCCGTGAAGGCTTAAAATGAGCTGCCGCTGTTTTTGATCTTTCAAGATAGCTAAACAGAAAGAGTCACCTCCCCTTTCCACACTAGGTTCTTCTTCTATTTCTGGTTCCCTCCTTTTGTCACCCTCCTTCACTAATGATTTCAGGGAATGCATGCACAGACAGATACACACAAACACACATACATACATACACACACACACACACACACACACACTCATCTCCTGCATGCCTGTGTCAGGAGCCAATCTGGATAACGACATGTCATATGTGAATTGTGATGGTTGATCTTTCACATCCTAGACATTTAACTCTATCTGTAGCATCTTTCACTGCTTCTTGATTCTATCTGGTGTGTATTTCAAGTACCTACACTGTTCCATTTTTAGATGATATCTAATTGATTGCCCTATGGCTCAGTTCACTCTCTTACCCAGTTTTAAAGCTTTCTACATTCATGTAGAAATTGGAGGATTGTATGAGGTATTTGATTCTAAGGTTCTAAGGTATTTGATTCTAGGAGTTTTTTGTGAGTGTACGAGAGTCAAGATTCTTTGGGTTTTAAATATCAATCCTTATATCTTACGTCTTAGCTTCAGATACAAATTTCAATATGTATATTGATCTAACATAATGAATCTATGTCAAAAAACTGAAAAAGCATGGGCTTGGGATGCAGGTCAAGTCACCAGAACTAAAAAGCTGTAAGTGCCCAAAATAATGGACTATCAGGTTGAGCGTGGCCTAATTAATGCTCTGACACCTGCTATACCAAACCAAGAAGGGTGAGCCATCTCCCCGGGTCCCTGCTGCCAGCAGGCGTAAGCACTTGTATGGTGATAATAAGCAAAATGCATTGAACTTCATTAGAATACCAAGGAAAATTCTCCAAAATGGCTCTTAATTAAATGGTCTCCCACTAAGCAGCAGTCAGAGAGTGAACACTCCCTATATTTTATTCAACTGAATGTCATGTTGACTTCAGAGCCATTTGGGGGGGTCTTTACCTAAGAACAATGCTTCCTATTTACATAGTTATTTTCATATGAGATTCGTGTAGCACTCCACAAATGTCATCTCATTACCTCATGCAGTGAGTCAATTACAGCACTGCGGAGATAACCCAAGACTCAAAACTCCCCGTGCTTTGTGAGAACAGCTCTGTAAACATCGCAAGTGGTCTGATGTGATGCCTGTTGTAGACAGGGGAAATGAAGATTGACATAAATTCTATAACTCACGTCAGTGTGCTAACAGCACAAGAATGTGATTGTCCATTAAAGCATTCACTTTCTTATTTTTCAAGAAATGGCCATTTTCCAATTCTGGTATCAATTACCCAGAGGAAGTTATAGAACTAAATTGTCTGTTCATATGAATACAATCTTCTGCTGTCCACATAATAACTTGCTTTATTCAAGAGTGAATACATTTGCACCTGTATTGATAAATTTGTTCTCAACCCAACAGGTAACTTAGTGATCATATAATGCCTGAATTCAGCAAAGGTAACAGGCCCCAAATCTGGAAATTTCAATAGGTTTATTCTTTTGTGTTCAGATCCTACTGTGAGGTGATTTTGCATGTATTAAACCAAGCGTAACAGTATGGAAACAAAGTTCACCAGCTCCCTAATTTTGGATATGTAGGAAGGTATATTTGGGTTTTGCTAGTCAAATACTTGATCTTCATAATGCTCATTTCCAGAATGATTTTTTCCACATTGTAGAGTCATATTTGTCATCTAAAATTGTCTATATGTTTCATAAGAAATAAGAAAACATGATTTAATGGGTATGCATTTATATTAGAAGGATTTGTGGGGAAAAAAGGGTTTTCTTTATGACGTATTTCTTGGATAACTTCTCAGAGAAGTTTTAAAGTATCATAAGGATTATTAAGAATATTCAAGTTACAATACATTTTTGAAAAGCTGAATAACACAGTTCAGTAAGATCTTTTCTAGTTCAGAGGACAGAAAAGGTGTAAGACAAAGACTGTATCTGAGGCACCCAAGTAATCTTTTTTTTGCGAAATGCCTTTGCTTTGGTTCCTGGCCAAATGAACTGCAGATCGTCTTTGGCTGCAGTTATTTCTGTACCTGATGACCTCTTCTATTAAAATGATGGTGGTTTAGGCTAACTCCATATGGAATTTATCTATGGGGTCACAAAAGTCCCTTTCTGGTGCCTTTAATACTAGACTCATTGTATGTTTATATGAATGATTAAAACTACTATGGAGGTAAGAAGGAAAGCCTGTTTTAATACACAGCTACAAATGTTATCACTTTCTCCCCTGCAGGAAGTGGGCTGTATTACTGCCGTAAGCGTAGTGCTAAAGAATCGTAATTTAAAAATAAATAAATAAAGCAATGGGTTTAGAGAAGAGAATGGGTTTGAAGCATTGGTAACATTATACGGAGAAGAGTTACAAAGCCTTCTATAATTTGTTTTTCTATTTCAACAAATTCATGATATTGTGAAAGACTTATTACAATGCTCATAATTTAAGATTACCCTCACAGTGTTATTTACATGTCAGTGCAGTTTTTTCTCTTTGCATGATTTTAGGCTGTGAAAATTTCTAGACCAACAAGTCTTAATGAAATTTCCCTTGCTTTCAATCCTGAAGAGGACGACCTAACAGTTTAGTGACTAATTTAAGTAAAAAGCAGTGGAAAAAATTAAAACAGCTACTTCCCTTCACCTATAGTTTTGAATGAGTAAATGGGGGAATGTTGCTAACACATTCAAAATTTCAGAATATTCAACAGCCAAAAAAGAAGAAAGTTGCAGAATTTAAGGAAATATCAAAATTTGTATTTTAAAAGTTTTACTGGGTAATATAAATTATGATATTTGAGTGGTATTTCCTGGAAAATCTATCTGTCATGACACATCGCACTTCAGAAAAAGGATGAATTCTAAAATATTATATTTTAGCAAAAAGCATGCTTGTTCCTCAGTCATGTGAATACAGTTATTCACACAATCCTTTTGTGAAATAATCTCAGCATTTCAGCAGGATTTTATGAATTGAATCATTATACTGCAGTTGTTTCACAGGGATCTGAAATCTTGATATTATTATTTTATTTTTGAGACAGAATCTCACTCTGTCACCAGGCTGGAGTTCACTGGTGCGATCTCGGCTCACTGCAACCTCTTCCTGCCGGGTTCAAGCAATTCTGCTGCCTCAGCCTCCTGAGCAGCTGGGACTATAGGTGCATGTCACCATGCCCGGCTAATTTTTCTATTTTTAGTAGAGGTGGGGTTTCACCATGTTGGCCAGGCTGGTCTTGCTCTCTTGAGCTCATGATCTGCCTGCCGTGGCCTCCCAAAGTGCTGGGATTACAGGCATGAGCCACCGTGACTGGCCAAAATTATTTTTACGCCGTGCTTTGAAACATGCACCTTTAAAATGGTACCTGGGTATTTTTAAATGGATTTTCCCCATCTTTATGACAGAATGAAATAGCAGAGGACATTTTAACTGCAAGGGAAGGAAGTGAAGGAATCAAAGAATGTTACCCAAAGAAACTGCAAATCAGCAGCAAACTCCTAGGGATGGGCTGGTGAGCAGAAATTAAATGGGAAAGCCAACCTGTCAGCAGAATGAATAGGTGGAGAGTGTGAATTTCAGCTGTAAGCCTTAGTTTAATTTTCTTTCCTGATAACCTCTACCACAGGCTGTTATTTCAAAGTCACTGGGCCCACTCACCTAGATAGACACCTATTACTAAAGCAACCACCTTCTTGCAACATATTGAGTAATTATATTCATCTTGATAACATCCTTCTTGACAATTTTATCATTGATGGAACTCTCCGCCTGTGAAGGTTATTTGTATTTTTCCCCGCTTCTGACCTTATGTCCCATGAAAAGGGTTCTATAGAGCAAATACCATTTGTTATGTTATCTTGGGAAATGGCCACACTTCTCCTTCCAGGAACTGTGGCAAAAATTATTTTCTGCACTCCATCTATGCCTGTCATGTCTGCCTTGATGGAGTGAAAGGAACATCTACCTGCCTGCCTTAACTACGCTTATTTTCAACCCAATTTCCTGAAGGTCCAGGTACACTACATTGGGAATCTGTAGCTATCTAGCCCAGCAGTGGAATGCTAAATTTTAACCTTTAAATCATTGTTCAAATCTAACCACAGCAGATAAAGTCGAAGAGGTTTTAATGGGCCAGTGTTTTCACACTTCTCAAACACACTCCTGTGATTTGGCAGGTGCCATGAACTCAGTTTGGGGACATTTTCTCCTCACTCCCTATAACTAGTTTATGGCAAATAAACTGCAGCTCTCGTTTTATGAGCTCTCCTCTGTCTCAATCCATCTTCAGTGCCCTCTTGTACAGCAGAGCTCAGTCCTACTATCCTGAATTATGATAATGCGGGGCACACAACCTACCCTACAAATGGGACTTGCTGTATGCTGAATACCCCTGGCACCCTGGTACTCAGCCCAGGGGCTCCACCTGCTGAAAACCTGCCCCCTGTCCCTTCTGGAAACCAGCAGCCCCTGGCCTGACCTCACAGGGAAATCATGGCTACTTACCGACCTCACTCAAGTCCTCTGCAAGCCACTCCCAACAGTCAAGTCTTAAGATGTACGTTTTCTTAGTTATGAGAAAGGGAGAAACTCATTAAAGGAAATTTAAAAACAAAAAAAGAATGTATTAAAAACAAAGTAAAACAACAAAACGAAACAAAAAACTGAGGTTCTGCTTCCCAAACACATATCCCGGTTGCTTTTCGTGGCCAGGATTTTTAAAGAGTAGACCGTCCTTGAAGCTCCTGGCTATGGTCGACCACATGGGAGTTGAAGGGGTTGATAAAAAGAAAATATCTAAGACATAATGTCTGAGTTAAGGAACAAGGAGCAGCCACATGAAGAGGGCCGGGAAGACTGTGAGCCATGGGTGAGAGCGTTTCCAAGGATTCTGCAGGCAAAGCCATGTGGGGTCCGTGAGGCTGCAGCAGACAAGGACTGACCAACTGTCCTGGTTTGCCGATGGTCACCATTTTATAACTGAAAAGTCCTGCAGCCTGCAAACCCCCCGATAACGTGCAAATCAGGATGATCTCACATCATGCCTAATTCTAGTTCCTATTGTTTCTTATACGGGCCCTCCCTGGAATTCTCAAATTTTTAAATTTCTACCATAGCAGTCATGAACTACTTTCTCATCATACTGTGAGGTGCTAGACAAGACTCTATGGTATTCTTCTGACTTAATTGCTTAAACACTGACCAGATTCCCAGTTTTGCCTCATTGACAGTGGGCCAATCCCCAAGAGGTCACCTGCCTTATTTCTGCCATGGTTCCTGGAACAAAGCTCATCATGGGAAAACGTCAACTCCTGTCCAGAGGCCAATCTTCTCTGGGTGCTGTGATACTGACTACACTACACAGCTTTCTTCTCCACATCCTCTCGGAAGTTCCCAGGGCCCACTGGAATCTTCTGAGTGTCAGGGTTGCTCTCCCTTCAAGCTCCTCTTAATTCCTTAATTTGGCCAGTGTTTCAGTAATGAAATGTGAGACACCATGCTCACCCCTTGGGTGACGGCCATGAGCAAGAAATGTTCTCTGCCAATAACAAGTTCAAGGTTCATGGAGAGGTAGATAGGGAAGAAGGAATAGCAAAAACATCATAACTTTGTATAATGTGATACAGGGATGCATGGTGCATCTTATGTGAGTAGAGTGGAGAAAACAGCTGGATGGTAGGAGGACTTCCTGGAGGTGTGTTCTGGCTGTGTCAGCCTCAATATTCCAAACTTGTTTAGCTCTTGAATCTCATTCTTCTCTAACTATGTGGGGACATTAGTCCTATACTGTTCCTCTTTTTTCACTTGAGTCTGCTTCTTTAATTTTACATTTTTTTATTTTAAATATGCATCAATCAAAACAGCCCATTAGGCAGAGTGGTATTGAGGTAAAACAACGGGATTTTTCTCCTTCCATTTTTTCAAATGGGTGATCTTTCATTTTAGTATTCATTTTCTCAAAACTTATTCTTTCAGAGATGAGGTCTCCCTACGCTTCCCAGGCTGGAGTACACTGACTATTCATAGATGTGATCATAGCTCACTACAGCCCCAAATTCCTAGGCTCAAGCCATTCTCCTGCCTCAGCCTCCTGAGTAGCTGGGACCACAGGTGTGCACCTCCATGCCTGGCCAGGTCCTATTCTTTTTAACTCTTCTATTTTCTAGGTTTTCTTTTAACACTAATATCACAGTTTGCAGTTATTTTCAAAGGTCACAAATGGTTTCTTTATTGTCCATGTCATCACATACTTCAAATTCAGGGAGACTCTGTGAAGGAAAGTCAATCTCGGGACCCCCAAATCACTAAGCCAAAGGGAAAAGTCAAGCTGGGAACTGCTTAGGGCAAACCTGCCTCCCATCCTATTCCAAAAAAAGACAGCTTCTAAGATAAAAATTGCTACGTACCTCCCTCACGATTTGTCCACGGGAATTTCCTTGTGGACAAAAGACAGAGCTCAAAGCCTTCCTTCTGCTCTCTGAAATAAATGCGTATCTGATTGCTTCCTTTGAAAAGACTAATCAGAAACTCAAAAGAATGTAACAGCTTGTCTCCTATCTACCTATGACATGGAAGCCCCCTCCCTGCTTGAAGTTGTCCTGCCTTTCTGGACCAAACCAAAAACCAAAGTACTTCTTTTTTTTATTTTTTTTATTTTTTTGAGACGGAGTCTCGCTCTGTCGCCCAGGCTAGAGTGCAGTCGTGTGATCTTGGGTCACTGCAACCCCTGCCTCCCGGATTCAAGCGATTCTCCTGCCTCAGCCTTCCAAGTAGCTGGGGCTATCTATATGCATGTGTCACCATGCCAGGCTAATTTTTTTTGGGGGGGTATTTTTAGTAGAGACGGGGTTTCACCATATTAGCCAGGATCGTCTTGATCTCCTGACCTCATGACCTGCCCACCTCAGCCTTCCAAAGTACTAGGATTACAGCCGTGAGTCACCGCGCCCAGCCCAATGTACTTCCTAGATACATTGATTGATGTCTCATGTTTCCCTACAATGTGTAACGTCAAGCTGTGCCCAACCACCTTGGGCACATGTCATCAGGACTTCCTGAGGCTGTGTCACGGGACTGCGCGTCCTTAACCTTGGCAAAATAAACTTTCTAAATTGACCGAGACCTGTCTCAGATATTCTCGTTTCATAGCTCTCAGCCAAATTTTCATCTTTCAGACATTTTACTCCAAAATCCAATCTATAGCCAAGGAAACTTCTCTAAAGCACTATGAACATACAGGTTCTAGGTTCTTGTACCTTTCACAGCTTACATTAAAATACGAAGGTATTAAAATACCACGTGATTAAGCTCCCTTTACTTATCTGTCATCTTCCCCCTTCCCCCTTATGGGAATGTTCTTAACTAACCAAGCTGGCCAACTCATCATCACTTAAGCCTGGGGTCTGAACTTCGACCACCGTGACTTATCAAATACTCATTTTTGTACATGGAATACACATACTCTTTATTTCTCGAAGTTATTTTTGTCATTTCCCTTCCTATGGAAAGCTTGCCTGTCTTCTGAAGGTTTCCCTGAGCACTGCAGTTCTACCAAAACCTCTCTCTCTGACCCTGTACAGCCTTTATAGTCTGCACTCCTGGCATTGAAATAACTTCATTCAGCCTACATCCATGCTTGAGAGTGAGGACTGGCCCCTGTTCACATGTGTTATTTACACGCATATTACTGAATTTGAAAATTGTAATTAGTCGCGGATGACCAGTGACATTTGTTAAGATGTTATGTGGACTCAGTTGTTGCCTCTCCTTTATGATTTATCTCGATACCCTAAAATAAGTTAAACGATTTCATTTTTTACAGCAGTTTTAAGTTCACAGAAAAATGAAGAGGAAGATACAGAGGTTTCTCATCTGTCCCCTATCCCCCCCACCACACAGCCTTCCCCATTCTCAACATACGCCACCAAAGAGAGAGGTGCATTTGTTAGAACCTATAGACCTAGGTTGATACATCATTATCACTCAAAGGTCAGTTTACTTCAGGATTTACCGTTGGTATTTTATGTTCTATGGGTTTAGACAAATTTATTGTGATATGTATCCCCGATATAGTATCATACAGCCTCTAGAATATTTTTACCTGGGCAATTTAATTTTAAAATAATAAACAGAGGATCATCTAGACTGGTGGCCCACCACTCTTTTGAACATGAGAAACCCTATGTATTTGCCAAATTTAATAACATTTAAAATTACCATAGGATCTACATGAAAGCCGGCTGTGGTTAGAGACTTGGGTTCCGGAGGGAGAATGCCTGTGTTTAATCCTGGCTTACTGCACATTAGTCAGGAGACTTTGAGGAACTTACAGAATCTCTATCTTATAAACATGGATTTTAACGGTATCTGGTTCATGATCAATCAACAGCCTTCAACAAGGATAATGCCTTGAAGAATTCAGAGAACAGTTTTTGTTACATGAAAATCATTCAATAAATGTTTTAAAGCCAGTGCACATGTATGCATATAGGATATGTTATTTTCAGTCTATGGACATGACAGATATGATAGATACACATAAGAATTCAATAGTTGCAGAAAATCAAAAGTACTCTGTGTCCATTTATTGGGATATTTGGTAGCAATAACTTTCAAAGACTCTTAGATTATTGTTTAGTTCATCTACTATAAACTAAGGCCTACCTCTATAGTATGAAGAATTTTAACTCTTTATCACTGAAACATCCTGCTTCTCCTATTTCTCTAAATCAGAGTCAATTACATTTGTTTATTAAAGGGAACAGAGGGACGGGAACTTCAGAGATCTGTAGAGGAAAACAGGTCTTAAACATTATCCTACCCTGGAAGCCCCTAATATTTGGGGAGGCTACAGAATGATATAGGAATAACAGTTAATTTCCCCCGTATTACCCAGATTTATTATCCAAACAACGTATTTCATACTTTTTTCATTTATCTGGTTTCTCTTTTATTGTTGTCTTTATCCACAGAGAAGGTATGACCCATGAAGGCAAGGACTTTATCTATTTCACTAGTACCCAGAATAATGCCCAGCACCCAACATGGGTGTCCAATGACTGAAGGACTGCATCAGTGAATGTATGTTTACACAAATTTATTAAATTTCATTCCACAAAAATCACAAAATGTAAGTAGTGACAGAGCTGTAAAGCTCTTGAAACTATGAATTCAAAAAATCAGGGCCAGGTTCAGTGGCTCATTCCTGTAATCCCAGCACTTTAGGAGGCCGAGCTGGGTAGATCATGAGGTCAGCAGTTCAAGACCAGCCTGACGAACATGGTGAAACCCTGTCTCTACTAAAAATACAAAAATTATCTGGGCGTGGTGGTGCGTGCCTGTAATCCCAGCTACTCAGGAGGCTGACGCAGGAGAATTGCTTGAACCCAGGAGGGGGAGGTTGCAGTGAGCCGAGATCGCGCCACTGCACTACAGCCTGGGCAACAGAATGAGACTCAGTCTCAAAAAAATAATAATAAAAATAAAAAAATCAGAAAAAATCATTCTACTTATTTTTGATTCTAGAACAGAACCTTGCTGTAAAGGCCCTTAGAACATATAGCAAGACAAGATGAAAACAAGAGGACCACCTGGACTTAGTTATCATTGCCCTTCTCACCAAAAGTTGCATTCTGAGAAATATTTATGATGCTTTCATTTCTGCTTGATTTTAAGTGGCTACTTTACATGCTAGCAAATTAGTGTATTTGGGCATGCTCATATTTGCTTACAGAGGCAAGTTCAATACGTAAAAAATTTGGCAGCTATTAGGTATAACATATTCCTTTGGCTTTAGGTGGAATTCTATGTCCTGTATTGTTTACTCAATTGGGGAATGTCGACGATAGCAAAACAATTGTAGTATTCAAGTGACTATTGACTAGAGTTCAGTCAATAAGTTCAACATTATAAGGCCAAAGGCAATTAAGCAGGGACTGATATTAGTTGCTGGTTACACGATTTCCCTGGACAGTTTTAATTACTGGACATGAGAGTTCTGAAATATGTGGATTAGTTAATAACTCAAAGTAAAAAAAGGAAAGCATTACTCATTTGGCATTACAAACTGTGATAAAATACACACACATTCTCATTCTGTAAGCCATAAACACTAAGCCATAATTTCAAAATTAGTAAACTGCTTGATATTTGTAATATCTTACATAATATGTAAAGGACCATTTTTAGTTTAAGAATAACACAGACTGCCAACCACGTTTAAAACATTGGTCCTGTCAAGACAAATAGTGATGCTTAAATGTAAGTATTCATTACCATCTAGATCTTACATCGAACACTTAATATGTCCATAGAGAAATAAGATTATATAATTGGAAGGGTTCATCAAAATATTAAGTGAAGTTCCCAAACATGTCAAATATAAATGAATTCCCAAATCTGTGAACACTTTTGCTTTGAATACTGGGTTTTTTTTTTTTTTTTGGAATTGAACATAATATTATATGCCACAACTTTCTGCACCTTCATCTGTATTAATGTAATTAAGTAAGCCCTGGTTCTTCATCAGTATTAAACATTTTAGTCAACATGAAGAGCTGTGTCGAATGCTGTATAAAGGCTCGTTTCAAATGAGTTTTTGATGAACAACGGCTCATGGAACTTAAAGATGATGTCCCAAAACAGATAAACTGGTGAATGCATCAGAGAAAGAAGGCAAAGGTTTCTGAGGACCTCCAAAGCTCTGTTCTGCATAAAACAGGCTTGGTGTGATTCGCAAACTTTCATGCTTATGTTCTCATAAGGCAGTTGGGATAGAAAACCAGCTCAGGTGTGTGTTAGGCCTAAAGAAGTCCACCTACAGGGAAGTTTATTTTTGAGACAGGGACAGATTTAAAGATAACTGTTTTTATACAATGGAAATGATAGAAATTTTTTTTTTTTTGGTTCTAAGGAGCAGGAAGTTTAATAGGCAAGAAGGAAGGGAGAAGACAGGAAGACAGAAGGAAGAAGCCCTCCTCCCTCTGTACGGGGGAGCATTTTCCTTCCACCTTCTCCCTTCCTTCTTACCTACTAAACTCTCTGCCCCTTAAAAAAAAAAATTCCACCATATAAAAACAATTCTTGCTTCTTATAACCTGAGACTGATTTAGCTTTCAACCAGGAAAATCCTAACCAATAGGGTTACTTCAATACATTTTGGCAATCCAACTCTTAAACATGTGCATACCCTCCCAACACACACACACACACACACACACACACACACACACACCAATTTCACCGTCGAACGAACACGTCAGGATTATCACTGCCTTGCCATGGTCATGCTTTGTGTCTCCACTATCTATGCCTTTCATTAACTTAAAGCTTGTCCACAGTTTTGGGAAAAAATGTGCTTTGACGTAGATGTCCTGCTAGAGTTTGAGGTCTTCGCTTTCTCATTACTCAATCATTTACTTGGATGATGCCAGATTTGGAACAATTAATTCCGTGTTTCACTCTGGACCTCTCAAAGCCTGCTAAGTATGTAAAGTTAATACTCAAATGTTTTCCTTTGCTTAAAGGATAACTTTCAAAGAGTTTATTCGCAATTACACTCCTCCTTCTATACCAACAGTACCTCTCTGTTTCTAGCAGAGTGCTTTACTTCTCTTAATACTGCATAAGAAAATTGTTTCCAAACCTTACTCATCTGAGAGTACCCACAACTCACACCTTGTACTGATCACTCTATCATCTTTTAATGCCTGTTCTATTGTCAAGACCCAGGTTCAATGTCATATTCTATAAAGTTTTCCCCAAATCCATCTGTGCTAATGAGAAAGTCAAAGCTGTACATCGAACACTCAGCTTATGTTCTTTTCTGTCTTATTAACTCTTCTGTGTGGATCCTTTCTTTCTAATTTAACCAATAAGAATATAAACATCAGAGCTCTTGGCATTTATTTGTTGAGATATGAAACCACAAGCCAGATAAAAATTTAGAACATTTTAAACAATGTCATCATCCGTACATATGATTTTTAAAAATCTCCCAGACAATTTATGAGGTGTTAATTTCTACTGTGATTCATGGAAAGCAGTGTTTCATGGTTAGTTTGTCAGGAAAGGATATGGTGCTTGAACTCACCTAAAGAATGAACAGGTCTTGCCGATGCAGAGAGTACAAGTGAGATTGACAATACTGCGAGCAAGAACAAGAGACAAAGTTTTTCAGATATAATGGAATCCTTTGGAAGATTAAAATCCCTATCTGGATACACAAGCTAGGATTAGAATAAGACAGGCTTGGATTCTGTAATTCTCTCTCATTATAATACATGGCTTCAATTTCTTCATCTCGCTAATCTTAGAAAGCTTCACAAAGAGCCATGAAGGAGAAACCACTGAGTCCTTTTCCTAATGAGATGAAGGAGCTCACCACAGAGTCATTTTTCTAATAAGTGGTGAACTTTTTGTTTAATTTTTATTTTTAACTGACCTTTCAAGACCTATTCAGTTCATGTTTATGAAACAAAATCTTGAAATCTTAGAAAAATAATAAAACCAAGCAAAGGAATCAAAGAAAGAACCTCTTGTTTTCTAGCAGGAAAGGTGAAACTCAAATTTTGTGAGTATTATAAACCAACGTGAATGTTTTAAAGGATTATTTTATCATTAATCTATTATTTATAATACATATTATAAAAATATTATTTGTTATCAACCTGATCATTTGCTATACTTTGCTTTTACAAGTTTTATACTTATAAACAGGTAGGTTTACTTTGTGACACCTCATTGCTTGGAAACAACCTGCATATTCTTTAAATTTAAAACTATAAAACTATGCATGTTACAATGAAAAGGTGTCTAATAGAGAGACAAGATATTTCAAAGGATGAAAAACTTAAGTGTGATTTGCTTAAGGTCTCAATTAGTGAAATAATTGGGTATCATTAACAGAAACAACTGACTCAATCTATCACAAAAAATGAAAGTAACTGGACACATAAAGAGAATATACTATATTCTACCTGTATATGATATTCAGAAACTCACAAAATTATATCCATAAAGTCAGCACATTTTATTATATGCAACTTACGCTGCAATAAAAATGGTTAACAAATAAAGGGAAAGGATATTTCTGTAGAACGGATTAGAGCATGAAAAAAAGGTAACAGCAAGAATAGGAAGAAAGGATGAAGAACAATAGACCTACAGTGCTCCTGTTACATGGAGAACAAAACCAGAAGATTTCAGAGGAGCAGAGAACACTGTGGAAGGTATCAAGTAACCTTCGGTCTCCTGCATGTACATACTTCTAATAATAAGTGAGTTTAGGAGCTGGGGTTTATCGGTGAACGGGAGGCAAACTAGTGAACAAAGTATGAGTACATAAAACATCTGATAGATGAGTTTTATTGAAATTAAGGGTAGAGTTAGGATGAAAGGTGAATGTTGCAACTCCTTCAAAAATTCGTTTTTTACACAAAGCTGTGGGCTCCCCCACAGCTAGGGGAGAGTCCGTCCGCTGTGTGCCCCTAGTTCCCGACTGTTCTTTGCTCAGAGCTCTCTCATCACTTCTCAGGTCTGCTTCCACCTGGCAAATACCAATGATAAGTCAACTTCGAAGGCTGCTTTTGAGCCATCCTTCCTTTGATGCTTTTTTTTTTTTTAACTCTGCTTAAGAACTTACTACTCCTTTGTTTATCTTGCCAGGCACCTAACAGAGCACCCAGGATGCGTTCCCTTACTTTGTCCTGTGCCTGAACCACAGCTGGAGAGTCTGATGGGGAGGGGCCATGCACAGTACTCCTCCTCCCCGACCCCAGCACAGAACACCCAGGCCGCCTCCCAGAGGGACTGGGAAGCATCAATGGTGGGCATGGGAGGGAGCAATACAGTACTGATTCTCATTTGAGAATAGCTGTTGATCACAAGACTCTCAGGTTCTGTTCCACAGCTGTTGACAGTATACAGGAGTTTGAAGTATGCTAGGTCCACACATCTCCTCTGTCAAACCTTTCTCCTTAAAAAAAAAAGTAGAGTGGTGACAAATCATAACATTCCTCTTTTTCTAAACACTTTTAAGTGTTACTTTCTTCAAACAAGTTTTAGAAAACCTTGGGTGGAAGATTTAATGAAGATGCATAATCTCATATTTACTCTGGATGAAGAATCCCATGCAACTCCATTAAGAATCAACAGATGCATCAATGATAGACTGGATAAAGAACATGTGGCACACGTACACTGTGGAATACTATGCAGCCATAAAAAGGAATGAGATCATGTCCTTTGCAGGGGCATGGATGGAGCTGGAAGCCATTATCCTCAGCAAACTAACTCAGGAACAGAAAACCAAACACCGCATCTTCTCACTTATAAGTGGGAGCTGAACAATGAGAACACATGGACACAGGAAAGGGAACAACACATACTGGAGCCTGTCAGGGATGAGGTGGGCGAAGGTAGAGCACTAGGAAAAATAGCTAATGAATGCTGGGCTTAATACCTAGGTGATGGGTTGACAGGTGCAGCAAACCACTATGGTACATGTTTACCTTTGGAACAAACCTGTGCATGTACCCAATAACTTAAAATAAAAATAAAAATAAAAAATCAACAGGTTGCCTTGCTTCTGAGACCTGCATGGCCATGGGCCTCTGACTGGATTAGGAATCTTTGCTAAACTGACCCTCCTGCTCTCCGAAGTAGCAATTCCAAGAATTGACTTTTGAACAACAGTTTTGAAAACAACCTTGAGTAAGATGACATCTTGAAGTTCACTCTGGAACATTCTAAATAGTCCCCTTCAGTCAAAATGTTGCTGCTGTTTTTAATAACAGGGAAAATAAAAATATTTACCAGCTTAAAAAATAAAAAGACATTCATGAATTATAAATCATCTGAAAGGTTCCGTAGGAGAACACACTGCCCTTTACAAAATGAACCTCATTACCAGTCCAGAACACACTGAGAATCACAAATAAACGTTTCCAAGAAACATTTTTAATAACCACTAATACAACCGTATTTCTATTGCTAAGTACAAAAATTCTACCGTGTAGAGTTTCTTGTCTATTCTGTGGAAGGAAAGAAAGAGCATCCTTTTGCGGGAAAATGTTAGGTAGCAAAATAAATAATAATAGCGGGATTCATCATATCTTCTCTTTGTCTTAGTTCTTTAATGGATAACATTATTAAAGAAAATTATTTAAAAGTCTCTAAAAAGTTAATTATGAATTTTCATCATAGACTGTAGACTTCTAAAATGACAAAATTACCCTTAGGGTCTCAAAATATACTTTTAAAAGTAGGTACTCTCAAAAAAGAATGATTATTTAAAATGCTGAAAAGAATCTGGCGATATTTTTATTTATAATGTTCACAGTTTAGGGTTAAGCAAATTATTTTATACCATACATAATTTGCATTTGAGTAATGTGGCATATTATATAATATTTAATTAGATGCAATATCTGGCAGAAAAAAGTATGGATCTCCATTTAAGGAGATTCAAATTTTCTTTACAAAATTCAGTGGATGATGCTATAGCTCATACAGTGTAAACCAACGGTTCTCAACCATGGCAATGATGGTGGAAGTGTGTGGAAAAATTAGTAGGGAGTGTAGATAATCAGAATCTTCTCAGAAAGTTTTTCAAATATACGTCGCTCCACGGACCTTTCTGCAAAGATCTCCCTTTCTCTACTGACAGAAGAAATAGCGATGGACTCAACATCATTTCTGTCACCTGTAATTTCGTACTTAGAACATGCATGAATAGCCTATCTTGCAATCACCAATGTATGGATAATTTGTAATTATTTAAAACATGTATACTTCATGAAAGTTATAAAATTGATACAGTTTTTATCAATTTTGCAAGGAATTAGATATACAGTATAATTATGAAAAGTAATGAAAACACTTTGGTGTTAAGGAAATATTTCAATTTTTCCCAAACTGGGGATTTCTAAATATTTCAAGAAAAGTAATCTAGAAGACAAATAGTAGTTGACTTAGCATTGCCTGCGACCTTGAATTAAAAGATTTTCTTTAAAAAAAATCTTAAAGTGATTTTACTAAAATCCAGAGTACAGATACAGAAAAGCATTGGGATACGAAGAGACCCGATCATCAAGCTCAACAGTCCCCAGCATTTTTGGCACCAGGGACCAGTTCTCTGGCAGACAATTTTTCCATGGACAGCAGGGTTGGGGGACGGTTTTGGGATGAAACTGTTCCACCTCAGATCATCAGGCATTAGATTCTCACAAGTAGCACACAACCTAGATCCCTCACACATGCAGTTCACAGTAGGTTTCATGCTATGAGAATCTAATGCCGATGCCGATGTGAGACGAGGCGGATCTCAGGCAGTAATGCTGGTTCCCTGGCTGCTCACCTCCAGCTACGCAGACTGGTTCCTAACAGGCCAACGTCTGATACAGGCCTTCATCCAAGGCAGGTGGGGACCCGTGATCTAGCTAAATACTCAAGCCCCAGTCTCTATTAACACGTAAGTCAAATTTAATACGCTGGTAGCACCTTACATTGTCATTTAAGTCATTTGCATTTGTAATCCCTGTGCTATCCCCAAGTATACTTGGAAAACAGAGACTTTTACTTATTTTATATTTTATTCAGCATTGAGTGTCTTACTGTACTCACAAATCAGTTGTCTGGGACTTGATTACAGTACTTATTGCAATCAGTAAGAATCTCAGTTGTTTATTTACTTATCTATTGTTTATGTGGTGTCTGGCAGAGACTAGGATTTCAATAAATATTTGCTTGACTGAAATTCAATTTCAGAAATTTGAATTTTTGTAGTACTATTTTCTCCCTTCCTAATCTGATGTTTCAGTGCCATTATACAGAAATTGACTGCTTTTGATTACAGAACATTTTCAACCAAACATAACCACATCGATCAACTCTGTATTTTCTAATTCTGTACATTTCTTCTTTTAACCATTCTTACCTTCTACTGGTCATTTAAAGAAAACCAATTTTTCCAAAAGTATTTTGTTTGTTTGCTTGTGTGCTTGCTTAATGGAATGCCTGTCCTTTCAAATGTTCTGGATATGTGTGAGTTGTCGAGGCAGGAGAAAGGGAGTGGCAGTTGTCCTAACCAGCCTGAGTGAGCTTGGAAGTGCTTCCTACTGCATCTCTATGCTGATGGGGCAAAACACCCTAGAGAAGGCTCCAAAAACCCTATGGTAAAGAAAACTGCTTAATTTTGTTTTAATAAAGTCTTAGTAAACTCCATGGGTAGTATGGTTTGGCTCTGTGTCCAAATCTAACTTCCAATTGTAATCCCTACACGTGTTGAGGAAGCGTCCTGTAATTTTGGATCATGGTAGTTATTTTTCCCATGCTGTTCTCATGCTAGTGGGTGAGTTCTCATCAGATATGATGGTTTTATAAGTGTTTGACAGTTCCTCCTTCACCCTCTGTCTCTCCTGCCACCTTGTGAAGAAGGTTCCTCCTTCCCCTTCACCATAATTGTAAGTTTCCTGAGGCCTTCCCACCCATGAAGAACTGTGAGTCAATTAGACCTCCTTCTTTTAAAAATTTCCCAGTCTCTGGTATTTTTTTTATAGCAGTGTGAAAATTGAGTAATACAATGGGTATTAAAAATAACACATAGTTCTATGTTCTAGAGACTCCATTCTAAGAACATACTTTCTGGAAACCATGATGTAAGACAACCCAGCGTCTATCAAGAACATGCATAGTCATCCAAAGACACAAAACCCTAATCCCCAGTCGCCTGTCATTCAAAAGTGTGCTCACATAGTCTTCCTGCTGTGTACAATTGCAATTATCCTCTCCAAGAAAAGGAAACGCGCACAGCCTTTATCTCTTTACCCCTAGATTCTACTACGGCATATTTCTTTTTTGACTGAAAGGCAGGAGTACTTATTGAACAGATATTTTTGACTCATCTTATATTCTGATACTGCGGCATGAACGAAGCTCTTCTTTCCGGCCCTTGTATCTCGTGTCATATGAATATCACTCTTTTCTGAGTGTCTCTTTAACGTCTGAAACCATTTGGACATTACAAATATAATCTAACTAATATTTTAAAATATGACTGAATAATTGATAACATTCTATCTTACAGAGTGTCTAGTTCTGGGAGAAAGATTATTCTATGAGCCAGCTGCATCTGAGTGTCCTGGGGGCACTTTAAAATATACAGATTCTTTCATTTGACTATTGGAAAAATAGTTTAACTAGGTCTATTGTTGGTGCTGCTTATTTGATAAAGAAATCTCTTCAACAAACCTCTGGATAAATGCTTAGGATGACCTTTATGAACTGTAATTTTTTTCAATATTTTAAAAATAAACAGTAATGTATTTAAAATATGTAATTTTTTATATATACACAATACATGATACATAAAATTTTAACATATAATATATAAAAACTATATATTTTCATGTCCTATATATTACATATTTTATATTAAAATTTTATGTATTTATATACTGTACATATATATTTTTTCAATATATTTTTTCCAAAATATTTCTAATATCTGGCAATTGCTAATTGTTTGAAAGTCCCACAACATATCTGACCTAAAATTTCTCTTTTAATTCCCTGTCCATTACCTTACATGTACCCCATGAAATAAGAAATAAATAAAATACTTTTCCACATAACCCTTCAAATTATTATACTCCATACTGAATTAGACTACGTTATCTGCAGACAAAAAGTGTATAATGAAATTGCTATAGCATAACAGATGATATGACCAATGAGCTCAGTAATTCACAAATGTCTCTATAATACAAAAGGGGAAAGTAAATATAGCATTAAATACTTTTATTCACAAATCAACATATTTCATAAACAAATATATTTAACTCGGCATCATTTAAGTCAACTTATGCCATGTTTAAATTAGTTCAACTATTTAGGAAGTGTCTAGTTAGTATAAACAGTATTTTAGGAGTGAAGAAATAAAGATAAACAATTTCTAGTCATCAATGTGGCTGAAGTTAATAATGGCATGAAAGTCCAAAAAACAAAAGACAGAGATGTGGCCGGGGAGGCAGAGGGTCAGAGAGAAGGGCTCTCACTCAGAGGCAACAGAAGACGCATTTGAGAAAGACAGTGCTTGACTTGTGTCAGATAAACACAGTTGACCCGATTGAGAGAATGGGGGAAACTTCTTACAAGTAGCAAGGGCAGTTCAGTGAAATGAGAAAGGCAAGGCGAAAAGCTTCTGATTCATGAAACTATGAGTAATTTGCTCATCTGAAGCTTGGCAGAGGTTGGGGTTAGAGTGACAGGGACAAAGTCATGAAGGACCTTTCTCTTGAAGTTTGGACAATGTCATTGACAGATCTAACTTAAGGACTTAAGGTGATCAGATCTGAGATTAGGAAAGATCACCCTGGCAGCTGTGTGGAAAATGAAGCAGATACTAAATACAGCCAGAAAGCTGTTACAGTGATCTGGGTGAAAATAATAAAATAATAACTTCCTCTTATTGAATAGTTATTGCACTCTAGACACTGTTGTTAAAGGCTTTCTATACATTATCTCATTTTCATTCTTACAACGGTCCTAGGAGGTAAGGAATATTAGGTCTTTAAACATGAGGAAATTGAAGCTTGGAGAAGTTAAATTAATTTCTTCAAGATCACAAAGGAGAGCTGGGACATTATTCAAAGAAAATCTAGATTTCCAAAAGCATGTTTTTAATCGTGCTGGGAAACAAAGACAAGATGATCACATAGTGCAGGAATGCTGATGGTGGAAGGTCAGATTAACAGAAACGCCTGAATTTTTAGAGGATTTAGGAAGGGAAATCAGCGTAGGAGTCCGTGAACAGTTAAATGGAGAGGCCGCTTGTAGAACAGATGCTAACTAAATTCCCAGGTTTTTACTGCAAACGAGCAACAAGAGAGGGGAAAGAGCCAGCCATGATGGCTCACTCCTGTAATCCCAGCACTTTGGGAGGCCGAGGCGGGCGGATCACCTGAGGTCAGGAGTTCCAGACCAGCCTGCCCAACATGGTCAAACCCCATCTCTACTAAAAATACAAAAATTAGCCGGGCGTCGTGGCAGGCGCCTGTAATCCCAGCTACTCGGGAGGCTGAAGCAGAAGAATCGCTTGAACTCGGGAGGGAGAGGTTGCAGTGAACCAAGATCGCACCATTGCACTCCAGCCTGGGGACAAGAGCAAGACTTTGTTTCAAAAAAAAAAA
This sequence comes from Homo sapiens, assembly GCF_000001405.40. Classification (NCBI taxonomy): domain Eukaryota; kingdom Metazoa; phylum Chordata; class Mammalia; order Primates; family Hominidae; genus Homo; species Homo sapiens. Next base: position 4,707,898 of record NC_000008.11, read on the forward strand.
AAAAAAAAAAAAAAAAAAAAAAAAAAAAAAAAGAGGGGAAAGAAGTTTCCGTGTGATTATTGTTTTTAAGACACATCTCACTCTGTCACCCAGGCTAGTGCAGTGACATGAACATAGCTCACTGCAGCCTCAAACTCCTTGGCTCAAGTGATCCTACTACCTCAGCCTCTGCAGTAGCTGGGAGAACAGGCATCTGCCAATACACTGGCTAATTTTTTGTATTTTTTTTTATTTTTTTGTAGAGATGGAGTTTTGCTATGTCGACCAGGCTGGTCTGAATCTCCACAAACAATCCACCTACCTGGGCCTTCTAAAGTGCTGAGATTACAGGCATGAGCCACTGCATCTGGCCTTCAGTGTGACTCTTGATTCCCTTCAGAATATAAATCATTGTCATTTACATAGACATGCATTTTCTCTCTCCCTAGGTGGAATGTAAGCTCCGTGAACATTTAGACAACATCTGTCTTGTTCATTATTCTGTTCAGTGCCTAAAACTGAATATGTATCTGGTAAAAAGTAAAACTGCTAATAGTTTCACTAAAGAAACAAATATAGGAACAATGAAAAAGTAATGGTTACCATCCTGATAAGTCACAATAACTCAATCTGTAGTAATTCTCTTAAAAATGAAGGTAAATTAAAGGAAGGTGATTGCCAGGTAATATTGTATCTTTGAGTCACTTAAACTAGGTAGCCAATCAGAAAGAGTTCATTGAATGGTTAAATTTCTAGTGTTTTCTGTCATCATTATAGACACCATCCTAACCAGATTCATTTTTTTTTTTAAGAGAAAGATTTCCCAACTGTGGCGGTGGAATTGTGACCCCCTAAAGATTCATATATAAAGTCCTAACCCCCAGCATGGGACTATATTTGGAGAGAAGATTTTGTAATAGATGTTTAAATTAAAATGAGGTCATTAGGGTGGTCCCTAATCCGACATGACTGGTGTTGTTATAAGAAAGGGAAATTAGAATTCAAAACACACAGAGAGTGACAATGTGAGCAAATACAGGAAGGTGGTCATTCACAAGCCAAAGAAAGAGGCCTCAGAAAAGAGCAATCCTGCTGATACCTCGATCTTGGGCTTCCAACCTCCTGAACCTTGACAAAATAAATGTCTATTGCTGAAGCTTCCCAGTCTATGGTACTTTGTTATGGGAGCCCTAGCAAAGTAATATGCTTCCCAATATGGTAGACTGGGTTGGAAAAAATGTCTTACTCTAATCACATGGAAATTCTGAACGAAATATAGCAATATGGTGTTTGATGCATAGCTCAGCTCACAATCGAGAGAGAGGAATTCCTCGATGGTAGAAGGAACCAGGCTACTCTTGTAGACTGGTGTGGGGAGTAGAGTTAAAAATGACTCCTTGGCTAACTGCAGGTAGAAGGAGGTGCTGAACTATGGAGGTTGATACCTGAGGCCTCTGTGTTGGATTGGGGGAGTTTAGGCTGTATGTCCCATTGTGTGCAGCAATTTGGAGCCAAGGGACGAACATAAAGACTCTTTTTACTTGGGGCTGCCCTGGCCTCAACACAGGAAATAGAGGGACTCTGTCCATAGGACGTAAGGAACAGGGGGAGCCTCATGTGCCACCTTCCTCAGGCTGAGGGTACAAAGAGGGCAGAGACCTCGAGGCTGGAGCCTCTGTCGTTGCTCACCGTGGATGGGAAATTCAATTTGCAGAAGCTGTCCAAAGGCAAGAAACAAATATAAAACTGGCCAGGAGCCCAAGACTACTGGGGGTCTTCAGCAAAGATGAATGTTTAACCTACTCTGAAGGTTTTCCACAGCCTGGGGCACCTGTGGGAAGCATAGCAGGAAGGCTGGGTGCAGGTGAGCTCCATCAGTGCGTCCCTATGGCTCCCAGGGAGAAGTCACAGGGGAAAGAGGCAGGAGAGGAAAAGAGCACAGTGTCCAGTCGTCCCGCAGAGTAAAATACACATGAAATCAACGGAAAAGTCTCAATGAACGTTTAAAGTAAACACATCTGAAATGGCCCAAGGATTGAAAAACTAGAAACCATAAGAAAAAACAGGGTCTTGGAAGAAAATATCAGGTCGATTTAGAAATTTTGATAAAAACTGGGTAATTAAATAAAAATATCACTTGATAGTTCAAATAGGCCACTAAGCTGACTTGATAACTAGTGATTTGGAAAATCTGGGGCAAGAACACAAAATATCGCCCAAGGAAAAGCAAGTTCTGATAACCTTCGCCTGGAGGTTATTCTAAGGGGGGATTAATTCCTGTCTGCATGCTTTCCTCTGCCCAGTACCAACACAAGATAAAATATATATACGTATCTTCAGTGTGCTCTTATTCAAGGTACTATGAAATACATATATTTATACACATTTTATATACATTTGCATGTTAAATATATAATGTATATGTGTATACATTTAAACGCATATAAACATATTCTAAAGTACATTAATACTTCAATTATATATTTAAATAAACATATGAAGTAAATAAAAATATATTATTAAATATATAAATTTATAAATATATTTAATACAATATAAACTTTATATATTGATATATAATGGAATATTATATATATATATATATGTATCTCTGTCTCTCTCAAATTACATTGAGTAAGTGTGCCAGGAGAAGATGGTGGGGGTGGTTATTTAAAAAGAAAAATGGCTTCTGGGTGCGGTGGCTCACGCTTGTGATCCCAGCACTTTGGGAGACTCAGATGGGTGGATCACAAGCTCAGGAGATGGAGACCACCCTGGCTAACAAGGTGAAACCCCGTCTCTACTAAAAATACAAAAAATTAGCCCAGCATGGGGCCACATGCCTGTAATCCCAGCTACTTGGGAGTCTGAGGCAGGTAAAATGCTTGAACCCGGGAGGTGGAGGATGACATGAGCCAAGATCGCACCACTGCGCTCTAGCCTGGGAGACAGAGTAAGACTCTGTCTCAAAAATAATAATAATAATAAATAAAAATAAAAGAACAATGAGAAAAAAGACTTACATAACTAGAAAATGGCCTGAGTCCAAACATAAAAGGACCATGCCCTATCCTGAGACAAATGATGGTGCTCTTGGATGTGTACTTGAGTGACATGTGAGGTGACGGACAGATGTGCCCAGGCCTTTTCTAGTTAGCAACTAAAGAAAATAAAATTAGGCAAAATCATGACATGATATTTCAGAAAACAGTCTTATGTAAATAGCAAATTATTATAAGAGAAGTTTGGTAAAATGGATGAAATTCTCAACAATTTTCTCACAAAAAAAAAAAACCATGATCCTTTTATTACTCATACTTGGAAAGGCAAATTTGAAGTAAAAAATGTTAATCATGCTATGAAATGAGGTGGTGAGAATCATCACACTTATAAAAGAGCACTTGTTTAGGTCATTTTCTATTTATCCAATAAACTGAAGGGCAAATTAAACCTTTGTTTTGACTATTTATTGATAGCCAAAGTTTCCAGGAAATTAATGTTAAATTGCATAGTTTTCGTACCAGTGATTCTCAGAAGACAAATTGTTTAGTAATAGCTGCATTTTCAAACAAAGGTGTGAAAGTACCTTTTATTTTTGTAAAGCAAAATTTATTTTCAGAGAAAGTATTTTTGGGACATCTGTCCTGAAAAAAAAAGTGCTATGGAAGGTTTTCAACAAAGGACAGAGAAATTTGAAAAAAAAATATATTGGTACTAAATTAGAAATATAGTCTGTAAGAGAATTATTTTTGCAGTCGGAAAAGCCAGGAATACTTCTTTACTGTAGGTAAATTTAAAAAAAAAATCCATTAAAGTCTTTGAGTCTAAAAACAATTTCAATATAATTCCAGAATTTCCTTCAGTTTGGTGTGTTTATGTAGTTTTTGTTTGCTTTTGTTTTTTGTTTTTAATTTTCCTCACAGGAGCCTTAAAAAAGGTCCCGAACCAAGTAGTTTTCTTCTATCATAATAATGATCTTTGTTAATAAGATGGTGATGATGGCACAAATAATACCAGCTGGATTAAGTGCCTACTACAGGAAAGGGACTGAGCTGGCTGGCTACTGTGCACATCTCATTTGCGGTACAGTTTTAAACTCAAGTCAGTGATTTGAAATATGTGGCTTCCTAAGAGTCTACAGAGAAAATCTAGAAGAGATTTTCTCAGGAGAAATCCCATAAAATGCATGTTCACTGCCATGAAGAAGAAATTAGGCAATGCCCCTGGAAGTCAATCAATGGGACTGACCGTGGTTGAAGCTGGATGGCATAGACCAGTGAACCTCTTCTATTTCATTTCTTCAGGCTCAAATGTCTGCGAATCCATTAGCTCTTGACCTCTACTCATGATCCTCAGTGCAAATAGCATCATTCAAAATTGGCTGAGGATACATGTAGGTGAGAGTACACTTCAGTGTGGGAGATGTAATTTAATGATGGTCACTTCCAACCACGCATTTCCAGAACGGAAAACCCTTTGATTTGTACATGGCACACACAGAACTGTCTAATAATCTGTAGGTCAAAAATAAAACCAGAAGGATGCAGGACTACCTACTCTTACTCTGAACCCTTCTCACAATTTTTTTTCCCATGTCAAAGCAGAAATGGCTAATTGCTTGCAGGAAAATTTCCCTTATTTTCCTTATCCCTTTATCAGAGCAAAGATAGTAAGTGAAATAGAAGAGAACAGAAAGAAGGGGCTTTAGAATACTGAAGATATTTAAGATCTAGGATTTGTTTATTTTTGATGAGATTTGCAGCATCTTTTTCCTCTAATTGGGCAACTAGTAAACATTTCACAAATAGATAATAATAGTGACGGTGTGTTTTTTTCTCTCTCTCTTTTTTCACTTGTGATATTAAAGGTGTTTTGTTTCCTCCTTCTTTCTTTTGGGACCACTGCCTGTTGGTTTCGTGCTGAGGCACATACATGACTGTACTATCTAAAGTTTCTATTTCAGAGAGGTCTAATCTGGATATATTTTAGTAGACATCCATGCCGATGGATGGAAGAAGACAATTTTCAAAAAGGGTGCTTGATTGACATACAAGTCTCGCAATTAGAAAAAGGAAAATTTTCTATAAAGGCAAATCCACGGGAATTACTGGCAGTAATATTAATGATATTAGGCTGCCTGACTACAAGGTGTGATCTTAGGGATACTGGGAAAGGTCTTCTGCCAGAATCGGTCCCCGCTGCACCTCAAATCCCCACCATTAAAGTCATTCATTTGAGTTAAGAAAATTGCCACTAGGACCTCTATTAAAATGCAAATGTGTTCCCCGGGTGGGGAAACACATTAAATCATTATCAACCATTAACACTTTAGACCAAATTAGTTTCAGATTTATTAGCCAATTACTCAAGTACAGAAGGAATGCGGAGCAGGAGAGTGTAGTTTAAGTTGGTTTTTGGAAACCTGGGATGCTTAAAGACCCATCCGGTGGTGTGGTGTCTTGCCATAGCTTTTATCTTTTTATTAGTCAGCTTTGTGTTTTTGTTTTGTTTTGTTTTGTTTTGTTTTGTTTTGTTTTGTTTTTGAGACAGACTCTCCCTCTCTTGCCCAGGCTGGAGTGCAGTGGCGCGATACCGGCTCACTGCCATCTCCGCCTCCCGGGTTCCAGTGATTTTCCTGCCTCAGCCTCCCGGGTAGCTGGGACTACAGGCGGCTGCCACCACGCCTAGTTAATTTTTTATTTTTAGTAGAGACGGGGTTTCACCATATGATAATGCATAAAGTTCTCACATAACAATATAAAAAAGTGGAACGTCTCTTAACAAAACAGAGGTCAGGACCCAGAGCTCCAGCTGCTCGCCACTGCCTCACGGCCTCCTCCCCAAACCCCAAACCTGGCCCCTGAGGCAACTCCACGGACAGGTAAGTTCTGAGAAGCTTGGGCTGGAGATCATTCTAGGAGGGTGTCATTCTAATCTGCATGCTTTCTTCTGTCCTTTTAATTTTCCTATCTTTTGAAGATGGGCAGAAGCCAAAAGTGGAGGTGGAGATAAAATTTGGGCTTGTGGGGAGGCCGAGGAGGGTGGATCACTTGAGGTCAGGAGTTCAAAACCAGCCTGGCCAACATGGTAAAACCCCGTCTCCACTAAAACTACAAAAATTAGCCAAGCATGGTGGCAGGTGCCTGTAATCCCAGCTACTCGGGAGACTGAGGCAGGAGGATCACCTGAACCCGGGAGACAGAGGTTGCAGTGAGCCAAGATCATGCCATTGCACTCCAGTCTGGGTGACAGAACGCGACTCTGTCTCAAAAAGAAAAAAAAAAGAATACCTTGTGTTCTGCACACCAACACCAAGCTCCACGTCCACCGTGTTGACGCCTCCTCTGTCATTCCGCCACCTCCCTGAGAGTCAGCAGAAATATACTCATCCTAAACAAACAGATGCCATCTTTTTTCTCTTTAAGAAAAAGAAATCTAGACCTTTCTCACACTTGCAAAGTTTGGGGTCAGGGGGTCAAGAATTTAAATTAATATGTGTAAGAAATTAAAAAATGTGCATCAACTGAAAGACAAAAATAAAATCTCCCCAAAAAGGAAATGGAAATTCTAAGTCAAAATACATAAGCGCTTTCATATGCTTCATCTTACTTAACTTTTCAGAAATACTTTAATAATTTTGCCCAATTGAACATAACAGATAGAGAAGGCCCAAAGAGAAGTCGGAACTTTCCCAAGTTCATAGGGTTATTGAATAACACAGCTGAGATTCAAATTCACACCACTCATCCAAAAACACAGGCCCTTTCCCCAGAAAGACATACTTGTCTTTAATTTCATTTAAAAGAAGCTAGGCAGTTCAAATTTACTCGAGAATACAAATTTCCACTTGTAGAAATTATGCCACTTAAATTTTGCTGAAATAATAGAGGAAAAATAATGTTAGGAAAAATTTGGGATTAAAATAGACTCAACATTATAAACAGTAACATTAGATTTTTCTTTTGCTCCAAATTCTTAAAACCGAAGAAAAAAATCTGTATACCTTTAGAATAATTGTATAATTTGACTATGATCCATAGCAGACTTTTTGGAAGGTGTCTAGAGAATTCTGCTGCTGTTTTTGTAAAATTAGACTGTATTTCCCTTTATGCTCACAGATGGCAATAATTTCATATCATTTTAACATTTCAAGCATTTTTTTATGTTATTCAGGGTCTGTTATTTAAGTCCAGATAATTATCCAAAAACACTCCAGTCCTCTCATCACTTATAGTTCAGATCCAAAAACTAGTAAGATTAACGTAACTATAAACTAACTATGCTTTAGTTATTCTATTATTTCGCAGAAAAAGAAAACGAAGAAATATGAAGAATGTCTGAGTGTTTTTATGAATTTGAATTCATAACCTAACCTGTGTTTGGCTCTGACAAAATTATTAAGGGTTACTTAAAGCTAATTTGACATGATTTCTGTTTGGTTTACACAAAGTAATTCAGAAATTTACAAAGCAATGCTTCATCAAAGAGCAATATTAAAATTGAATATAATATAAACATGTAAAACAGATACCTTTATTCATCTCTGTTTTCTATTTACCCATTCCCTTGACAATCTCATATGGTTTCACAGCTTAAATACCACATATAAATTGATAATCCTCAAATCTGTATCTCCAGATCAGACTTCCCCTTTTAATTGCACGTATATATATCCAACGGTCCACCCTGAACTTCTCTGCGGATGCCTCACTGACATCCAAAATTTAACGTGAACAAAAATGATCTCCTGATTTTTCCCTTCAAAATCATTTCTCTTCCAGATTCATCTTAATTTTGGCAACTGTTCCCTTCTAGGCGTTCAACTCAAACACCAAGGTATCACCCTCAGCCCCTCTCTTTCTCTCACACATATCCAACTTGTCAGCAAATTCTGTTATCTCCCCCTTCAAAACGAGCCCGTCCTCCTATCTCTAGCACTACCCCTCTGGACCAAACCAAAGTGGACTTTGCTTGGATTACGGGAATTGCCTCCTAAAGGGTCCTTGGCTCTGTCCTGGTTCCTCTAGAGTCTATTCTTCACATAATAGCTAAAATTGTCTTGTAAATCGTCTTCGTTAAATGTGTATCAGGTCCTGTGATGACTGCTTAAATCTTACCAGTGGTCCAAAGAGCACAGGGGCCAGGGCAGATTCCAAAGCCAACCAATAGTAAGGGAGCTGACAGAGAAGCTGCTGTTAGAGCTGGGTTGGGGGCAGGGACTCTTAGTCGGGAGACTCACAGAGCTGTGAGATGACCTGCCTGGTGAGCCAGGCTGACTTCACACTTCAGCGAGGAATCCCCCTGAGCAGGCGCCACCCAATGGGGACTGCTCATCTAGAGAACAGAAGGCTGTCTGCCAAGAATCCTTACACTTCAAGACAATGCCAGCTCTTCATCCATCTCCCTCAACACCCAGAAAGGGCACAAAGAAGGTCATGTGGCTGAGGAAATGTCTTCTTCAAGAGAAAACAGGCATGACATCAAGTGACTGATCACTGAATTTGGAAGGCCAACACAAGGATGGGACTTTTTCATAAATGTATACAAGGGACATCAAGATTAATATCTGAAAAACAGAATTTTTCAGTTATTAATAGAAGGTTTTTAAAGTATTCATAATACTTCAACATCCATTATCTATGTTTACACTTACCTACTTTTAATTGACAGATAAATTTTAGGCACAGATGTTAAAGGAATTTACTATATTCTTATAGAAATGAGTAGCAGAATATGGATTAACACAGGTCTCCCGAATTCCTGGCCTATTCAGCATTTAAGAAAAGTATTTAAATTCTAAATATATCTGATAATTAGAGGACTATTCAAGATGATTTTAATTTTGTAGTCTTGTGAGAATTAACTAAAAACTGAGGTCTAAATAAACAAGTGTGGCAGGAAAGAAATCAGTGTCTCGCCTTTTTCCTTGCCATTTTCAAACATCTCTTAGCAACTAATGAATTTGAAACAACCAAATTTTGTGTGTATATAGATTGAAATTAATTCTCTAGAAGATTAAGCAAAAAAATCATATCTAGACTTTAACAATGAGATCCAATAGGTTAAAAAATGAAACTTAGTATAATTCCATTTCAACAAAATCCAAGTCTCCTGGTATAGAAGCCTGGGTTGATGAGGACACATTTTCTCCTCTTTATTCCTGAATATCACAAAGAAAAATAGGAAAAATAAGTCCTACCTTCTTCCCTCTCTGCCCCGAGAAAAACTATTTTTTTCTAATCATGAGAAAATAATCATTAGGAAAAAAAACTAGGGTATACAGTGAGATATTTGGGAGTCAGGAGAAAAATTTGATGAGGAGTAACAGTATTAACAGGTTCCAAATACATAACATAGCTACCTTGGTAATGGCAGGATGAAAATAGGGCCTCAAAGAAGCATCTCTGACCCTGCCCTTCTCTCTCTCTCTCTCCATATATATATATATATACACACACACACGTATATATACACACACATATATACACACATATATATACACACACACATATACATACATATATACATATATACACACACACTATATATATACACATACACTATATATATACACACACTATATATATATATATACACACACACCCCTTTCTATATATGTATCTACCTATGACAAGATTCAGTTACAAACCTATCAATCTGTCTGTCTGTCTACCTATCTATCTATCTATCCATCCATCCATCCATCCATACATCCATCCATCCATCCACAAGCAGTAGGAACTATATATATTTCTACAACGGGGAAAGCACTGGTGTGAGTGGGAAGGAATTTACAGAACTGTGATTCCGAAGAGGCTGGGTAACCAAGAGAATCACATACAGTGGAGCCATGTTTGCAGGAAGCAATCAGTCTCTGTCAGAAACTGTCAGATTGTCAATAAAAGCATACAAAGGTAGACTATCTGACCCTTTCAGATCTTACCGCCACCCCAGGAATCTCTTCACATTAAGTCCAAGAATATTTAATAGCTTTTTATTAAATTATCTAAAAATAAATAGGATGACTAAAGTATTGATACAGAAGAAGTATAAAACAGTGGCAAACAATAGTAAAGTTTATAAAATCTATCAAACTTATTTTATTTTATTATTTGTTTTGAGACTGGGTCTTGCTCTGTACCCCAGGCTGGAGGGCAGTGGCACAATCACAGCTCCCTGCAGCCTCTACCTCCCTGGATCAGGAGATCCTCCCACTTCCTCAAAGTACCTGGTATGACAGGCACATGCCACCATGCCCAGCATATATTTTACATTATTTTTGTACAGACAGGGTCTACCTATGTAGCCCAGGCTGGTCTCAAACTCCTGGGCTTAAGTGATTCTCCTGTCTCAGCCTCCCAAAATGTTGGGATTACAGGTGTGAGCCACCATGCTAAACCATACAAATCTATCAAAATTTTAAAAAACATATATAACGATTTCTTATATTAACAATCAATTATCACTATTGGTAAAATTCACCTAAATATACATAAATTGGAGTCAACTTAACATGATAAAACACATCTAGTTCACCACTAAAACCAGGCTGATTCTTAAGCAGGAATGAAATCTTAGAAACATCACTCCTGAAGACAGGAACTAGAAAAGAATAACTAATATTCCCGCTGTCAATTAATATTTTACATTAAGTACTAGCTAAGGGAATTTGAAAAAAGAAAGAAAAAATTTATAAAACATGAAAAGGAGGAGATAAACATATAGTACGATTGAATTTTGATATTATTTTAAACTGGAAAACCAAATAAAATCAATTTTTAAAAAATCTATTTTAAACTAAGAAAGAATTCAATAGGTGACAGGAAGTAAATTATCATAAAAGACTAGTTTTTCTATTAAAAAACAACCAATTTTATAAAAGAAAATACTCTTTTTAAAGCAATAGAAACTTAAAATATAAGGAAATTAACATGAAATATTCAAGACCAAATTTTTAAAGATATAATACTCCCTAAAAAGTACCAAAATGTAAATGAATGAAAATACGTATCTTTGAACTCTATGACATTGTATTAAAAAATGAGAATGTTCATTATACACTGACAGGAAAAATGAGAACGTTCATTATATATTGATATGAAAAACTTTGAAGATATGTAGGTATGAGAAAAAAGGAAAACAACTGAAGTTTATATTATGTTTTCACTGGTGAAGAAAAAAAAGAGAGAGAGCTAGAATTTTGTTTTAATGTGGTTGGTTTCTGCACAAAGAAGCTCTGAATGATGAACAAGAAACTAAAGACAATGATGGCCTGGAGAAAGGCAGGTGAAAAAAAGACTACACAGCTAGAGAAAGTGCAGGGGTGGGGGAGACTAGATGGCACACATTGTCATGTTTTAGATTTTGCATTTTGTGCAAGTTATCTTCAGGACTAAATTAACAAAGTAGATAAATAAATGAAGCCTAATAAGAAATAAGGGTTTTCTAATCTATTTCCTTCTCTCTCACGTGCCAATGCGCTTGAGCCTGCTCATTCTCTTTCTCTCCCTCCCTTCCTGCCCTATAATTCTCTGTTGCATTAAAAGCATCATTATAAGTCTCAGGCATTTGCTGCTTCCTTTCTTCCAGAAATGGACTCTCATTTTCTTCAAGCGCATTGTAAGTAATTTAGTCCCCACCCCCACCTACAAAAAAAAAATCTTCACAACAAACTTATTTTTAAGAATTATTGCATCCTTTCTAAGATAGCATAGAACTTTGGGATGGTAAGGTCAATAAAAACTTGAATCCTTTTCCTATTTTGTTCAAAAGCTAAATTTCCATTTATTTGTACTTCCAGATGAAAGTAATTTGATTTATGTATTTCAGTAAAAGCTACCCAGTTTTAAATTACCTAAAGAATTCCTAATATGCACTTACGATTTTCAAAGTACAAATTATTATTTCCCTTTGAGAGCTTGAACTATTGCTGCCTTTTACTTTCATAAATAAAATTTTATCTCATTAAAGTAGTATAAAATATGGGAAAGGACTCCCTATGCAGGGCTCACATATCTATATTCGACCTCACTTTTTATTGATTTTAACAGTTGTTGATAGCTAATGTCACCTCACTTTAAATTTTTTGTCTACATTTTACCTACAAAATAATCAGTCATTCTCACCAAGTTTAAGTGCTTACTTACAGATCATTAAATATTTTAAAGAAATTATTCCTGTGGTGAGGCTTTTTCTAAATGAAATATTTTTTATGTAAAATACCACCTCTTAATCTGTGGTTTGGAGTTTTTGTATTTTTGCTTCACAAAGCTAGACGTATACATACATATAACATATATATATATATATTTATATTTCATATACTTTTGTTCCTTGATGTTTCTTAGTAATAATATATAAAGGGAATGTATCATTTTTGGAAAAGTTGGAAAAATTTTTCCAAATATCACAGAAAGCAATGTGAAATTCCTTCTTCTCAAAATCTATTGCACCAGAATAACATGGTACCATGTATTATCTCAAGGAAAATATGACAAACTATATTAAATGCAAAACTATCAGCTACTACTTCTCATTTGAATAATTTTTTTTGTTTTTTGAGATGGAGTCTTGCTCTGTCACTCATGCTGGAGTGCAGAGGCATGATCTCGGCGCACTATAACCTCTGCCTCCTGGGTTCAAGCAAGTCTCCTGCCTCAGCCCCCTGAATAGCTGAGATTAAAGGCACATGCCACCATGCCAGGCTAATTTCTGTATTTAAATAGAGACAGGGTTTCACCATGTTGGCCAGGCTGCTCTCCTCTCGAATTCCTAAACTCGATTGATCCACCTGCCTTGGCTTCCCAAAGAGCTGGGATTACAGGTGTGAGCCACCACGACTGGCTAAATAATTTTCTTATTTGGAATATTTATAAAGTTTCTGAAAAATCATCTTGGTCCATACTTTGTGACTTAGAATTCCATCTAAAGATCAACAACGGCCATAAGGAACACAGAAGGAAAGTCTAGAAGCCAAGGGAAAACCAAGATCCTAGTGCCGTCTCTGGTACAAACATACCTGGTGACCTTGATCAAACATCTTAACTTTCGTGAATCTACAATTCACCAGCTCTTAAGCTTGCCCTGCCTACTTCACCGGAAGACAATTTTTATTTGAATGGAATTTAAATAAACAGTTAATTATTGTGTTTATAGCATTATTCATAAAACCACTCTAATAATAAACCTCTCAAGAGTAACATGAGGGTTAAGGAGGAAGTATGAAAAAGGCTTTGGAAACTTACAAATGCAACTCGGCAATAAAGTTCTTCCAGCAAAAGACTAATCAAATTAAACTATTGCGATCCATATACTTTGTCCCTATCCATGTAATTTACTGAAACATAGGAATTGTGTTTTCCTCATCCATATTTCCTCATGCCTAGTATCATGTTTAACATATAGAAAGAAGAAATAAATACATGTGATTTTGTAGTTGGTGGGTTTGATGAGTAGAACAATCTCTTTTTATTCTACTGCCTAGTGATAGACAAGTATAAACTAAGAATCATCAAATATAAAAAAGAATGAATCTGACTACTACAAATCAGATTCTGAACAATTTGAAATACAAACTATTCTGGAAGATGCTCAACATCACTTATCACCAGGGATATACAAATCAAAACTATGAAATATTACCTCACATCTGTTAGTATGGCTATTATCAAAACAATGAAAGATAAATGTTGACAAAGATGTAAAGAAATGAACTGCTGTGCACTGTTTGTGTGAATATAGATTGGTATAGCCAATAATGGAAGAGTATGGAGGTTCCTCAAAAAATTAAACATAGAAATATCATATAACCCAGCAATCCCCCTGTTGTATCTAAAACCAAAGGAAATGAAACCAGCACCTCATAGAAATAGCTGCACTCCCATGTTCACTGAGGTATCATTCACAATAGCCAAGGTATGTAAAGAACCTAGGCATCCACCAATGCATGAGTGGAACATGATTCAGCTTTACAAAAGGAGATACTGTCATTTGTGAAAACATGGATGAAACTGAAGGGCATTATGTCAAGAGAAATAAACCAAACACGAAAGAAAAACTAGAATTTATTTCATATCTATAATCTTACAAAAACGGAATACAAAGAAACAGGAGAAGAACGATGGTTATTGGAGTGGGCTGGCATCGAATGAGGAGATGTCAGTCCAAAGTATGAAGTTGAACTTATGTAGGATGAATAAGTCAAGAAATCTAATATATAGCATGAAAACTATAGGTAATAGTGTTATGTTGTATACTGGAAATTTACTAAGAGAGAAGATGTAAGATTTTTACACACACACACATGCTGACTATGGGAGGTGATTAAATATATTAAATATATTGCTTTGCTTGAGTACACTTATTTGACTATGCATATCAAGCTATCATATTATATTCCTTAAATACAGACTGCAAGAAAGAGAAAAAAATTGTTTTGGTGAAGAAAATATATTTAATATCCATGCAGATTTTAATTTTATCAAAGGCAAACTTAACTAAATATGGCTACTTCTCCCAATGCTGTGTATCTCTTGACCGAGTGAAAAGTGATGCCTTCTAAGTGAAGTGAAAATGCATTTTGTACTGCAGTCTGAAGTCACTATATCCTGCTTCCATTAGGACTTGGGAGGATTGCTGATTCTTCAGGAGTATGCTCTGAATGGGGTAGAACTTTCCAAATGCATCAGATAGTTAGGAATGTCTGTGTTCCTTCTTGGAGGAGCCCTGAACTACAGGGTGCATAAGTCCACAGGCAATGTAATAGTCTCAGCATCTCATTACTATCCTCAGCGGAAAAAAAAAGTTTCTAATTTTTCTAATTTGAATATGATGTCAGCTGATTTTTACGGAAAGAAAAATTTGGTAGTCGTCAGGAAAATTACAGTCACTTGAACTCAACTACTTGAATATTTCAGGAATACTTGTTTTCTTCTACCTCTTAACAAAGTCATAAATACTACTGGAATGACACTGCTTTAGATATCTCAACAAAAAAAGATTTCTCCTCTGTGAAATACAAAGATCTTACTGCTATTTTCTATATCCAGCTGATCTTTTCAGATCTAAGCTCGGTGGGGTTTCAGCTTAGAGTGCTAAGGTATCATTTTTCTTTACTTGTGGCATTACAAGAGTCTCACTGAGACACTGCTATGTAATATCTTGGCAAAACAGTATTGATCTCCTTTCAAAAGTGAATAGAGGTCAGCTTTCTGTCTGGATACTTATATATCTGACTTGTACACCTAACACCATTAAAATCTATTTGAGTGCATTAGTGGAAATGGATTCTATTATATGGTCTCATGGGGAACCCGCCAGGAAGTCATAGAGTATAACGTAGACGGCTCCTTTTAAAGACATTTCAGGCAATTTTCTTGCCATCCCTTCACTTCATTCCCACTGGCTAACTGGGAATCATCCAATTACTACAATAGCCAGGATTGATACCCGGGAGTTAGAAGAAAACTCTTTCAAGGACCGAGGTTCGCTCAACTCATGAAAAACATGTTGCCATTTCTGAAAACAAAAAGAGGGTTTAATACTTTGGAGTACATAATAATGTGAAATATACCTGATACTTATGATTCAAGTCACTAAAGTGTGTTACCTGACAACACGTCCATTTTGTATCTTGTAGGATCTGTGTATACCTGTGCATAATAGGAAGAAATTTATTTTGCTGAAAGTAAATACCAAATATTGTAAATTGTATGAAAAGAGGACATTTAAAAAGCAAATAATAATTAGCAGTTTGTTTAGCTAATGACCTTACATATGTATCTTTCTCAGTTTTTACCACATTTTTGTTGAATTTCTGATGAAAATGTCCAGGTATACATAAATAATAATGAAAGGAATTTTCATATGTGCTGTAAGAATCTAAAATGTAAATGCAATATGCTTTCGAATGTAAAAAAAAAAAAACAAAAAAAAAACAAAACAAAACAGTGCCTGAATCATGGAGGACCTTGTAAGGTGTTCCCATTGCCTTCCCAAAACTAACTGTCATAGGGAATGAGATTTGTCCTGCATATACAGATCTCTTCAAAACATACTTTGAGTAACTTGCCTAGATAAGTGCATCCAATCTCGGGCAGAAAGAACGTGAAAACAATTTTTAAAAATATGATGCTCTGTCATGACCATTAAATATCAATCACTGAATGATTCTTCTAGTACTGAAAATAGTTTAAACAATCTATATGCACTTAAGTGAGCCATTGCAATTTGTCATTTTCCTGTAAGACAACTAGACCTCCTCTTGCAAACAAAATAAAACATGGATGTTCCAGAATGCTTTTCATGAGTTTTATGATAATAATTATAGTCTCAAAACAAAATATTAACCTTGCAGTTTTAAGAACAGTATTATCAGGCTGGCTAATGAATACTGATATATAAGCTATGTCAAATTGTGTGTAAACATAGGGTTATCTATATCACTACTGATTATATGAAGAGCTAATAATGCCCATTAAAATATAATAAGATTTTCTAGTTTTCTTATAACCCATGTGGCATACCATAAAGTAAAATCAGACTTAAATATACAAATAACAGATTCAAATATAATATTTACATTACTTATAAGTAGCTGGGAGTTCATCTTTATAAGTACTAATATAGTAGCTCTTTATATATATATGTGTGTGTGTGTGTGTGTGTGTGTGTGTGTGTGTGTGTGTGTTTATACTCCCAGTGAAATTCTGTTGAAGAAGAATTGACATAATATATTATGTGATATTATTTGGAAAAAATAAATGTAAGTTTCACACAGACATTGAATAAACTTGCTTTGTATTTTAAATTATTGAACACCATTCTAAAAGATGTATCTTGGTAAGATTAATCAACGATTAGCTCTTGAAGCATTTATCACGTTTTTTAAAAGTTAAGATATACAGCATAGCCTTGTAGTATGAATCAAGTTGATATATTCAAGTTGAATATAGCCTGTATGTTTAAATTTGAAATCTGACGGAAGTATACTTCACTATTAAAACCTCAACTATAATATGAATGAAACAAATCATACAGGTTTTTTTCTTTTAAGAAGGTTGTTACAGTTGTATAAATGATTCGAGTTTAAAACATAAGCCCATAACATTTTGGTTGAGGGAAAAGTCGTGAAAGAACACGTTTTAAATATTTATACTTTTGCTATTTTAAACATAAAAGGGGAAATGTGTGACTTTTGCCATTTGCGATCCGAACTTTTCAAATTAAATGTATCCTGAAAGGTATATATGTTTTACACATTATAAAAGTGTACCTTTTATAAAGAATACATTAAAAACAATAAAAGTCAGAGAATAAAGATGAAAAGGTTAAATTTAAGTCTTATTGCAAGCTGTTTAGTATCACGAGCAAAGTATCGAACTTCATTGGTACATGAATGACCAAGATCTGATTACTTTTCTTCAACACCATTTTTCCTAATTAGCATTATCAGCATCCAGTTCTAGAAAGTCCTAGCAAAATTAATTACATAATAGTAATGTTGTTTTGCTTGTGAAAGCGCAATAATATAAACAAAGTAGATTATTTATGGTTGTTGTTCTCCATTTCTATTATTTTCTTAATTTGATAGCTCAGAAAATACATAGTTACGTGAGCTCCACAAGGGCATATCGCACAGAGATTTCCATTTTGCGAACTCCATTCCAGGATATTTCTAGTTTTGAGACCTACGTGTATTTCAGAAGCAACATGGGGCGCGTCTCAAATGTCCACTTTTTAAAGAAGCCTCTTGAAACCACAGCTCATCCTTTCAGAATCTGCATTCTCAGACAAATTCCAGCCTTGCTTTTGGCATCTTGAAGAAAATCCCCATTTATCTCAGATAACAGAGAAACAATTTGCTGTGCTTATTTAGTAGCTGGTACCTTGAGTTACACAGGATTTGCGCTGCGTTTGAGCCTAGCTGCTCGGTTGGAACTGAGTGTAATGTTCACGACGTGGCTAAAGGAGTTTTGAGACCTACCCTCCGACATCTTGTAGACCCTGGTTGTGGGACTGGGTTCACATTCCAGGGGGGGTTACTTTGACACTCTCCAGTAGATACACGGCATTCGTCAAGAAGTTATTAGGATTTACAGTGGAATTTTGGTATCACGAACTAGTTGTAAGAATTTTCTCATAATGGATTTTTCTGGTCACGGTGTGAGTTCACATCGTGGACAGTTCAAGCCACTGACAAATGATCCGTGATACACAGAACGCACATATAACACACGGGGAGGACAAGACGTCATCTGGGCGAGCCATTTGCATCCAGATGAATACAAAACCTACAGTTGGTTGTATTACACTTGGAAGTTTTCAGCTGTGGCTTCATCACCCATATTAGGGTCAGAAAAACTCTTGTGTGTTTCTACAGCCTTGCCCCGCTTCTTTGATCCTTTGTAGTAATGGCGACTAAGTGGGTAGCGGGTTCTTTAAAAAAAAAAAAAGCTTTTTGTATTCCTGAAAGATAGTTATTATCACCAAAAGCTTTCTCTTCTAATGACTAAAAATAGAGCACTCTACCCTTTAGTGTAGTTCACAGAATTTGTTTTTAATACTCCAGCTCTTTGTGCTCCTTAAGTCTGCTTCACTTTTTTTTACTTCGTTTTTCAAATAAGACCTCAATGGACAGGGCTTTAATGAGAATACAAGCAGTGCTAACCAGAGGGACAGGACCACTTCCCTGTCTGACAGGTGAGACGTCTAGGGCCTCCCATCAGCTTCTGCAAAAGATAGAAACCCTGAATCATTATTTCAAGGTACTTCATCATCCTCCCTCCTCTGTTGCTCTGCTGCTGTCCTATTTCATCAGTTCTAATTTTATTCATTCTCCTTCTGGAACTTTCACTTCAGCATGGGCTGGGTTATGACTGCATGTCCTTTCCTATGTTCTGGCTTGTATTAAAAATTGCAATAACACAACAATTGACTTGAAGATATAATTGACCTGAAGATGCAAATGACCTGAAAAGCTGAAATAGTATTGAGTTTCAAAAACATTATTAGAAATATGAAGAGCTGAAAAAATAGCTTTTTATGAATTTCTTCTGGGGATTGTACATATGTACTTAAAAAAAATACATGGATGAGATGATTAGGATGGAAAATGAGACCCCTATATGTCATACTGGAATACCAGCAGAAAGGTCATCCAACTGTTTTCTAAATGGAGAAACTGAGATTGATGTCAGGGCTTTCTACCGGCTGAGTAGGGTGAGGAAGCTGAGGCCCTTCTGCAGCTGAATGTAACTTCTGCGGGGACACTTCGCTCTCAATCCACCGTAGGCCAGTAGCTCTCCATTCTCTCTGAGAAAGGACTGATCAATGATGAAGAGTCCACTCAGCAGGGCACCCAAGCATTTCTGTTTTCACATTAAACCAGTTAATGTCTACCGGTGAAGTCTGTAACAATAATTAAGTAATTTAATTAAGTGTTTGAGAAACCCATGAACAAAGACCATGAAATAAAATGTTCACAAAAACACTAATGCTCTCCATTGAAAGCTTTGGAAAACTCCATAAGTGCACTACCCATAAGTCAGTCCCTGGAATTATGCGTAAGATAGTTCTAAAAGACTGGGGAAAACAATAAAGAGAGAGAATGATTTGGCACTTTCAAAAAGCAAGTGAAATAATGCCTTCTGGGTGTGTTTTGCAAAGAAAAATGGTGCAGAACTCCACTATGCAGATTTATTTTCTTACCTAACGTCTTCTAGCTGTTAATGACTTCCAAGTTTATATTTCCGTGATCTGGTTCCCACTTGAAATCCACGGGGACCAGCTCTACTAGTCACCTGGAAATAACTTGCAAAGGCAAATTCCTGTGTTCTGCCAGTAATCTTCCTCTTTCCTCTTTTTCTTCTCTGAATCTCAGTTAAGGGCTGCTCTCTGCTTCCAGGTGCTAAATTTGGAATATATATGTTTGGTACATGTATATGTTTGGGATATATATATCTATTATATATACATATTGGATATATATTTAGCTTATATCACCAATATGTACCCACCTATACCACATATATATATATACCAAATACATCTAATATATATATATACAAAATATATATATGTATATATATACAAAATATATATGTATATATATACAAAATATATATTTATATACAAAATATATATATATTTTTTCTATTTTTTTGGTTTATTGTTATATATAGAGAGATGTAGAATGTATATGTTTGTAGGTAAATATGTACATTTGGTATATTTGGTGTATATATTTAGACATAAGATCATACCTATATATCAAATATATATATTTTATATATATATTTATTTGGCATTTATATATTCGTATATTTATATATATATTTGGTATATATAAGTGTGATCCTACACCTAATGATATGAAGTAAAATGCATGTATATGATTTGGGTTGAAATAAAATTTTAATATTAGGTGTTTATATATTTTAGTGGTTCTCTTTTTAAAAATGCTCATTTGCTTAAGTAATTTGGTCCTCATTACATGATATAAGGGACGTATTTAGGGGAGTTTAGTTTGGAGACTATAAATTCCTGAGGGTAAGAAGCATTTCAGTCTTGTTACCAATTGAACGTATATTGCACAGCAGAGTGCTGCCATGTAGCAGGTTCTCAGCGACTATTTACTAGGTGAAATAAATAATCTCCCAATCTTTAGCTTATTTGGAGCTCTTCATGTCTTTATTCAGCTCTGTTACTGATACCATTTAACACATGTCCTTCCTATTCCAAATAAAATTCAAAGACCCATGTATGTTAGAGAATCTTAACTAGTTAATATTGCTTAAGTGGATAATGCTTCCACATTGTTTTACATATTTCTATTTGTGATCGTATTTCAGTAGATGCTCAATTAATATTTCTAAATGTCTGCTGAAAAAAAAAATAACCAGATGTCTGCTGCCACCTAAAAAACTCAAACTCCTTTAGTTCAAAACACCTCGAAACAAAAAGCTGGCATCTACTGAGATTAATAAAAGAGGGGAAGGGGAGAATTATTGGAGGGAGAAAGAAGGAATTTGTCTTTGAGCATTACAACGTTAAGGTAACCTGCCAGACGTCCATGTGGAGATAGAGATGGACAGCTGCATTTTAGAGGAGGGAGACTGTGGTGATATAAATCTAGAAGGCGTTAGTATACAGACGGAAAGAGATAAATTCACTGATGACCTGAATATAGACAGGAAACACTTGGATGTTCAGCCCTAAATTATTTCCATATCTGAAACCAGGACAAGGAGGAAGACTAAACAAAGAACACAAGGACAGGCTAATGAGACGGGAGAAAAATCAGAGGTCTCAGGAAACAAATAAAAATGCTGTTTAAATAAAGAGGGCATTATCACAGAAAATTATGCTGACGAGGAAAGAAAATAAGAATAAAAACCCGATCATTATATTCGGAAATGCAGTCATCGATGATCCACACAAAGGTGTTTTGTTGGTGTGGAAATTCTGAAGACAGTAACTGATTGCAGTAGGTTCAAGAGAGAATTGGAAGAAATGAAAAAAGGGGAAAAATAAAGTATCCACAACTTCTTCAAAGAGATTTGCGGCAGAGGGGAGCAGAGAAATGATCAATAGCTGAAAGGAAAAGTGAGTCACACAAAAGTTTTCTTTAAGGTGAATGAAATACACATAATGCATTTTTATGCTGTTGAGAATGATGCATTAGGCAAATTTCGATATTGCTAGAGAAACATATAAAAAAACAAAAGACGTTAATCTGTGAGCAGGTGAGAAAGGGGGGAATGCAAACTTTGCATGAGTATCTATTTGGCAACAGAAGACTAGCTGTTGTTTGAAAGTTCCAGTGGCTTTTCAAAGCTGTGCTTACAACTCAAAGTTCCTATAAAACTGTAGGGAAGGATCTCATAAACAACTTAACACATGGATCTATGTATAATCAATAATGAAATAAAAGTTTTCCATTGCAATCACAGTAAAAGCAAAGATACTCCTAAGTCCTAATCTTTCTTTTGAATTCCTAAGGTGATAGGAACCTCATCTGAAACTTCAGCGGGAGTTTTGATTTTCATCCTTTCCATGGAATGACTTGTGCGCACACACTGCAGCCTAAACACGGGACAAATCACTTCTCCTCTCCCGATTCTGAAACTCGTGATTCAGAGCACACCTGCTCCCATGTTAATGTTTTAACTCCTCTCAGAATGGCCAGAGAACAAAATAAATTGTATGACATCTTTATTACCCCTTTTCGTCTCCGCACTTAGAAGCATTGAGAAGTACTTGGAGAGATTCCCAGAATGCAAAGCATGGTCTCAGTGTGGAAAAAGAAAGGGATGGAAAAGAGGGAGACAGAAGAAAACAAAACAAAACAAAACAAAACAAAACATATATATATATACTTTTTTATGTTCAGGGAACTCAGAACAACTGTGAAGACAGTTCATTAATCAAAGACAAATTCAGTTCAAAGAAATGTTGCAGGCTATATAGAAAGCCCTTGAAAGATGAAAACATATTCAAACTAAATTTGTAAATATGGGAATAAAAAGTAGTTGAGTTAGGTGGGGTCATTCAAAGAATAATCAGATTTAAGAATAAAGAAAATGGCCAGGAGCAGTGGCTCACACCTGTAATCCCAGCACTTTGGGAGGCTGAGGCAGGCGGATCACGAGGTCAGGAGATGGAGACCATCCTGGCTAACACGGTGAAACTCCGTCTCTACTAAAAATACAAAAAAATTAGCCGGGCGTGGTGGCGGGCGCCTGTAGTCCCAGCTACTCGGGAGGCTGAGACAGGAGAATGGTGTGAACCCGGGAAGCGGAGCTTGCAGTGAGGAGAGATCGTGCCACTGCACTCCAGCCTGGGCGACAGAGCGAGACTCCATTTCAAAAAAACAAATAAAAAAAAAAAGAATAAAGGAAATGAATAAATGAATAGAGACGGAGAAGTTGCTGATTTTCTTGGTTTTTGTGCATAATGCTTTATCTAAAGAAATAAGAGCCGTAACGAGAAATGTCTCCCTTGAGAAAGGCTTTCCTGTGACTAAACCGTGCTTTGTTTCCAGTCATTCCTGAGGCAACCAGGGCCAGTGTTCCTGCCTATTGGGGTGATTTTACTCATTTAGGAAGGCTTGGGAGTTCTATGTCATGGTTTTAAAGTTCTAGGCCCAAGACGCTAACGAATGAAGAGTATGGAGGGTCTGTGGGTCTTGACTCCTGCTGAGAGAGACCATTACCAGCTGTAACCTGCTTTTGATTTGCCCATATGAGAAACCATGAGATGGCTTCGAGTAGCATTTAACTTTCCGAGCTGTAACTGAAAGTTAAAGAGAAATTCCACTACTGTTTGGAAGCGAGAATCAGTCCTTTCCCACTCAGCCTCCACACAAGATGCCCACCTCAACCTGCTTTTGTCTTGGTTAGAGGCCACCTTCCTCATGGGATCCGTCTTTGGAATCAGCAGTTTTTGCTCCCACCTCATAAGCTTACCGGCCATTCAGGGACTGGAGCAAGCTGCATGTGACACATTCCCCCACCTGTGCAAGTACTTTTCATATTTTTCCGTATTGGAGTATCTTGGTCATTTATAATTTATGATTTCAACTTGAAACAACTTGCCTTGGAAAGGAGCAAATATTCATTCAGATATATGATGTCATAACTTTCCATTTATCTATTTGTTCTTTTGTTCATTAATTATTAAATACATGTTTATTGAATATTTTGAGGAGTGTGAGGAATAAAACTGAATAAAAATCAACCCATCCCTGCACTCCAGGAGAAAGGTGGGAATGCACACTTTGCATGAGTATCATTTGGAAACTGAAGACTAGCACTGTTTCAAAGCTCCAATGGGTTCACGAGGACCCAGGAACAGCAGCCACAGCAGTTACTCTAGTAGTTTGGGAAGTGATGCTGGCTTCTACCACCTACTCTATTTATTTAGGGTTGGGCGAACAACTCACAGTGTTTTTCTTATTGTGTATATTGTCTTCTCACATGGGCTTTAGTACTGTATTTTTATTCTAACTGTCTCTTCTAATATTACATTCTTATAGGGCCAAAGATAAAAATAATAATAGTGAGAACGATCACAACAGCAGCAGTATTAACAAGAATGCCAGCGTTATGAGAAGGAGGAGAGAAAAAACGAGAAGACTGAGGAGCCAGTGTTGACTGCATGCCTCCCCCATGCCCGTAGCTTTACATCTCTCTTGCTAATCTTTCCAACAGTCCCGCATCCTTATCTTCATTTCACAGATGGCAAGTCTGAGATTCAGAGGCTTCTAATAATGTTCCCAGGACCCAGTGTGCAAAAGCGTTCGGTAGCAGACCGCAGACAAGAACTCAGATGTATCAGACCCCATGGGTAGAACTCTTTCTACTCTAACAAACTGCATATGGTGTAATTGAAAGACACTCTGCTAGATTCTAGAAACCTTAATGTTAAATTAAGACACCTGAAGAGTTAATAGATTTAAATTTCTTCTGCGTGTGTGTGTGTGTGTGTGTGTGTGTGTGTGTGTGTGTAGTGTTTTTCCCCTGAGATTCTCACTCTGGACATGCAGAATCCAAGCATTTATTCTCACTCACAAGTGCTTAAGAACAAGAATTACTTACAAGGGCTTCATTTTCACCATCGATTACTTTTCGAGTAACTTTGCCAAATTCCAGTCTTGCAATGCAATTGAATTTTATTTGTACTAATGGAAAGCAACCTGTCAGAGAAGCACTGCTTTCATGACCACCCCAGACAGCAGAAGACACTAAATCAAGGCCCCTGGGAATCGTGAGCTCATCTGGGCAGCCACACATCTGCCCCAGCTGTATCCTTGCTCTGACTAAGCAGACTTCCCTTGTAGTTTACATCGTTTTTAACCCTTGGCTTGATAAAGACTAAGCAGGCATTTTATAGCTCTAATTGTGCCCAAATCCTCCAGGATTTAGTAACTCCAGGCAGTAAATGAGCTTGGAACTTCTTTGCAGGCTAGTTGACATCCACACTCATTCATTTAGCAAGCATTTATATGGGCCCTAAAACATGTCCAGCCTGCTGGGATGGCAGAGGAGATCGGGAGGCAGCAAGGGCGGAGAAGGAGGGAACAGGTGCATTTGTACCTCAGCACAAATCTCTAGGGCTACGCTCCTCTTTCATTTGCACGGTTTCTTTGGAAAAAAAAAAATCCCCAAATGAAAAATAACTAGAAAAAAGACCGAGGTTGGTATTTAAAATGCTGATATTAAAGCAAATTAGAATAGAAGGCAACCATTCATTCCTTCATTTCCTTCATTCATTTATTCAGTCAATGTCTACCAAGTACTGAAAAAAGCGAAACCATGTTGAACATTACATTCCAAAACAGACTAATTCAAAAAGTTCATTTCCTGAACCCTAGTATTTGAGAAACATCAACAATATGCAGAAGGAAAAATAAATGACTAAAAATGTTGCCCTCAAAGCAAGCACAAATTAGCCATGCCAATGACCCTAACTCTAACAAGAGCCTTTTACCCTAGCAGGTTATAGTGACTCATGCCCAGAATAACCATATCTTGGAAAGAAGGAAACAGACATAGAGGGAAGGTAGGTGTCGGAGAAGGAGCTAATGTCTACTAAAATCTATTACAGGACTGCCAGTTTTACACATAATCCTCTCAATGGTGCAACAAGGAAGATAGATAGTGCATTGCCCATTTAAACTGACAAAGCTATGTGGTGTAAGACGTTAAATAACTTACATGTTTCAACAAAGGCCTGGAAAGCATTTTTATCCAATAGTCTACACTGCATTTTTAACACATCTGAACAGGTATTTTGTTCACTGACTACCTATTTTTCCTTTCTCCTATCTATGACTTAACAAAGAAGTATGTAGGAACCCATGAAAGTAAAACTGGTAAACAAAGAAACAAACTTAACAACAACGACAAAATCCTTCATGACTACTACTAAATTATGGAAAACTGCCTTATTTTATTATCACTGACCATTACAAGAAGTCAATTTATTTCTATTTCTGAAATTGACCTGGGTAGCTTTTTGAATTCTGGAAAAAAACAGACAAGGATAGCATTTATGGTAATTAGCAAGAGGCTGTATGAAGTTAGAATTATGCCCCTATGCATGTGAAGTGAAGATTCTCTTATCAAAGAAAGAAGTCCTTCTTACAAAAATATTTTGAAGAATATCTTAACATATTTGGAGAAACTGAGGTGACAAGTTATTTTTTATTGCATTGATAAACATCAAAAGAGTTTATTTTTATCAAAATTTTCATTTACATTTACAAGCTCTATTGAAATATAATAGAGCTTGTACTGGGACATTTAAATATGTTTACCTGGAAAATTCCCCTGCATGGTATAAGGATGTGTTTTGATTTTCTAGCTTTCAAGAAATCTATTAAATCCTTTTAAAAAATGTGATATATTGAGCAGTACTAAAAAAGCAAATTATTGTTTATGGATGTGAATTTCACAGTATAGCTTATTATATAGTTATTTAGAGCTTCCTCTGAGTGTTCTATGCATGTTTGTGCAATTTTTCTTTTGTTTAGTGAGTCCCTGAAAAAAAAAGGTGAAAAGTTGAATAGGAATTCTGTGACTAATAACTTTTCTTGTGTGGCCAGAAGCTCTAAGATTTTTTTATTTCTACAAAATAATAACTGTTGAAGATTTAGAAACGTATTTGGTAGCGAAGTATAAGTAAATGCTGGGTATTAAATTATATGCTGTTTAACAAAATACAACTATACTGTATAACATTATATTTTTAGGTACTGGAAATACTTTTTTTATTTTAACAATGATTCTTAGCTCTTACCCATTTGACATGAGTGGGCCGTTCAAGCAAAAGATACATCTATTGTTTTCATAGGCAAATAAATTATTGGCTACTTCTTTGAAGATGTTCTGCTCATGCCATCTTTACTCTCATTTTTAAGACCTCTCAAGGACCTGGGTATTTTCAGTCTTGGCTCTGTGGACTGAACTCTCCTTGGTGAAGATTCCATGTGTGTTTACCCCAGCCAGCAGCAGGCTGGCCACAGTATTTCCTTCTCCTAGGAGGTCTGGCTTTAGCAAACTACTCGTTATGGCCTGGGATTCTGGGAAAGTTTCCATATGGATGTTATAAGATGTTGCTGAGAAGTGCTCGGGTTGTTTGAAATCACATCAAAATTGATGGAGAACAAGTCAGTTCAGTAGAAGCAAATTGCTGCTCGTTAAAATTTGGGAAAGTTTCCGCAGGGAAGAGCAAAAGGTATTTTGGAGCTGGTATTCAGGATCTTTTTATACATATGAGGTAATGCTCCCTCACCAATGAGGAATGCCCCCTTCTCTTTCAGAACCTTTATTGCTAATACCAAATGCGAGAGGATACTTGAGTCATCTCAGCACTGAAAAAGCCTAAGGTCTTCTCATTTAGATTTCACTAGCTTTTTAAACCACATCTCCAATGCCAGCTACCAAGTTACCAAGCCAGGATCTAAACCTGGATTTTCTGTTGCCAAGCCCATTGTCTTTCTCTCATCAATTTATCTGCCCCAAATAACCTTCTTTTTTCAGTAAGGGAGAGGATTATTACGTAGATCTGCAAGTGTTGTAGGACGACAGATTTCCTTTCAAACATTGAACTTTATGCAACATTTTAATGCAACTTACATTAAAGGTCAGAATAATTCACCTTTTTAAGGTCTCTTCCCTAGAAGCCCACATACAGCTAAGAAAAGAAGTGAAAGACAATTACTAAATATAATACTACTAGCAATGATGATGAGAAGACTAATAGAAGCTAGCACGCACTGATGTCTTCCATGTGCCAGACACTTATTTGAACACTTGACATCTTCTTGCTTTTATCTCCCTAATATCTCCCTAATAAGAGAAAAGGACTGTTAGTCTTCCTAGTTGTCAGCCGAGGATTTGAATTTTAGAGGAATTTTTCCAAGGCTGCCTAGATCTTCAATGGTGGTTCTGGAATCTGAACTGAGGCCTTTCTGATTCCAGGGTCCAAGATTTACATACAACACGCTACTGCTTTACTAGAGATTTACTGATGAGCAGGTAATAAGTAGCCACCGGTTGCAACATAAAAATGTTATCCTATTTAACACTTTCCTGAACTGAGTTCATAGCTTGATTTTCTTACATTTTTATGGAGCTGCTGGAGACACTCAGGCTATTATGGACATTTGTATTGCCCTGTGTTAGCCTTCATGAATATGCCTGATTTTCATTGGAAAGCTTTGTTTCTCACGAGCTGTGAGGTGTTTCTTCTACTGGATTAACTCATTCTGTCACCCTAATGCTTTCAAATATTAACTTCTTCTCTATGTTTAATTATCTGTGCAGGACAGGGAAAAATGCTGTAAAAAATTTAAAAAGAGACGTAAAAGTTCTCACACTTTTTATTTTCTTCAGGTCACTGCACACTCTGTTGTGTATCCAGGAAAATTTAGGTAGTTGATTATTCTTGGAGATATTCAGATAATAAGGAGATCACAATGGTTGGAGGTGCCAAGAAGATTCCAGGAGAGAGAGAGAGAGCAATGATTTAGAAATTGGTGAATGAATTTGCATGAACAGAGAGAAGCAGCAGGCCCCTCAGGTGGGCAAATACAAGAAAAACTAAAGAAGTCAGAACTCAGATACTCAAGCATACACTGCGGCCATGACAGCATGACAGCTGCGGGAAAACCCCAGGGAAGGTGAACACTCAATCTAGGAAAATGGGTTTGCACATATTGTACTGGAGCTAAAAGGCAGGGAAAGGCAGTGACACCTAATTATCAAAAGGAATGATTTTTATGCATAACTTTTGAGAAGATAAATCGCAGGAAAAAGAATAATTTAAGAAAAAAAGTTACTGGGAGAAAATGGTATACTGCAAACTTTGGAAGCAGGTTTCATGTTTGTGTCCCCACTCTAACACTTTTGTATAAACAAGTGCCTTCACTTCCCCACTGTGCTGTCTGATTTGTGGGGTAAGAAAATAGCTCCTACCTAATGCAGAGCTGGTATGTAAGCGTTCAGTAAATGTTATCAGCTGTCATCATCATCCTCTTTGTAATAATTCCTGGGGCTCAGTCACAGCAAACCATTCCATTATTTATTCTCTCATGGCTGCTTCTTTATAGCTTGATTTTTGCATTTAACATTCTATCATAAAGACATATGCACATGTAAGTTTATTGCAGCATGATTCACAAAAGAAAAGACATGTAATCAACCTACATGCCCATCAATGATAGACTGAATAAAGAAAATGTGGTACATCCATACCATGGAATATTATGCAGCCACAAAAAAAGAATGAGATCATGTCCTCTGCAGGGACATGGATGGAACTGGAGGCCATTATCTTTAGCAAACTAACACGGGAACAGAAAACCAAATAGTGCACGTTCTCACTTATAAGTGGGAGCTAACTGATAAGAACACATGGAGACATGGGGAGGAACAACACACCCTGGGATCTTTCAAAGGGTGGAGGGTTGGAGGAGAGAGAGAGTCAGAAAAAAAAAATAACTAATGGGTACTAGGTTTAATATCTGGGTGATGAGATAATCTGTACCACAAATTGCCATAACAAAAATTTACCTGTTTAACAAACCTGCACCTGTACCCCTGAAGTTAAAATAACAATTAAAAAAAAACATAAAACATCATTACCAGACACATGATTGATGATTTCCCTTATAGACACGGAAGTTATTGCCAGCAAAGACTCACCTTCTTCATCTCTATCTTTATACTAGCACTATATTTTACACATTTTTTACCAAATGGTTGAGATAAAAGAAAAAGAGACAGGTTGGATGAATGCAAGGAATAAATCATTTAATTCGGCTGCTGAAGTACCTAAGCAATAGGTAATGGCTTAAATCAATGCAAAGGCAATAGAAAGGCCAGAGAAGACATAGAAACAAATAGTTCTTTGGACAATGGTAGCATCTAAAGTAATGGGCAGCATATGGTAGGAAAGGGAGGAGGAGTCAAATATTGCAACCCACAACAACAAAGTTAATCCCAGATAATAAGGAAATTGATAGCAAAATTTGTTTGAAGGAAAGGCGAGAAAGTAAATTATGAAATGTTAATTTTCAGGTAACAGCCTGCCATTGAAGCAAAGTAATGATAGCATATCCTTTCTCCACATGTAACTTGGAGAATGAGAGAGAATAAGAAAAGTGGTAATAGTAAAAACAAAGATAAGATTACATGCCAACACCAGGTGAATGGGACAACAGTAAAGACACACACAGTTTTCTGTGCAAGGTCTCAAACAGAATTAAACAGAATATCAGGTTAGTTTATTTGGTTTGATAGACTTTCAAATAGTCCGTTTTTATTAAAAAAGAATGTCCCTACAGTCAAATATTTATCCATCTGTATTAGTTCATTTTCACGCTGCTATAAACAACTGCTTGAGAATGGGTTATTTACAGAGGAAACATCTTAATTGACTAACATTTCAGCATGGGCGAAGAGGCCTCAGAAAACTTTCAATCGTAGCAAAAGGGCAGCAAACATGTTTTTCAAATGGTGGCAGAAGGAGAAGGGCTGAGCGAAGGGGGAAAAGCCCCTTATAAAACCATCAGATCTCATGAGAACAAACTTGCTATCAGGAGAACAGGATGGGGAAAATCACCTCCATGATTCAATGACATCCACCTGGCCACTCCCATAACAGGGGAACTACAATTCTAGATAAGACTTGAATGGGGACACAAAGCCTAACTATATCACCATCTAGCATCTGTATTTTAAATATAATTACATTTTCCAACAGCATCGTTTCTGTCATTTTTTGACAAAGTAAAAAAAATCAGTATATTATATAAATTTTCATTGATATATTAATTAAATTTGCTGTATCATAATGATTAATGGTATGCATTTCTGAATACAGGATTAAGCTTGATACAATAAACAAATAAGATGGATGCCCCTGTCTGAGTTCAACTACAGATGGAGAATAGAAAAAATACACAGGTTGCTTATTTAGGAACTACATATAGTCATCTATTATACTTAAAATTCTGTGTGTTTGTGTGTGTGTGTGTGTGTATGTGTTAGAAGGCAATGTCCAAAATTTTGAAGGGCTTGAATAATATACCTTCTCTTGGGAAAATAATCTTAAGTCTTCCATGCTAAAACAAGTTAAAAGTTAAAGGAATGTAGTGTGAGTAACTGATATATTCTTTTTAAACACACACATGTGCACACACACATACATGTGAACATACACACGTGCACACACACATACATGTGAACATACACACACGCATACACACACTTTACTTCCTAATAGCTCATTTTAGATCCCGTGTATTTGTTCAATAATTCTATCTATTAAAGCAATCCTATGTTGTTGAGCCTGCCAAGTTCAGCTCTGTAAATATAGCAATGCAGCAATTTCACTTGGAACTCCTACAGATTAACAGAGCATAGCCATAGTTGACAGAACTAGATATTTTATGGAGGAATTTTACCTTACTGTAAACTTCACAAATGTTCAGCTCAGTCATATTCCCTATTTAGTGGCCTTATATCTGATACCTCCCAACTCTCTACAATATAAAGAGAAAAGGTCATGTGAATATTATCTAATTGAATTTGTTGTAATGATAGATGAAGTAACAAAACTTTTCTGTGCTGTGACTCAATGATAATAACTTAAAGAAAATCATAATAAGCTCCAGAAGATCTTTTGACTCTAAATGAGAACAGGTCTCCTTTGGGTCCGAGAAACCCACATGCTCAGTGGTTATCATGGCATTAACACAGGAAGCCACAGGCGGACAGTCCACACTTTGTGTCTATCACTTTTTGTCTAGCATTTTGTGTCTAGCACTTTACTAGGAGCTCGTGGTGGTACTTTGCTCCCTATCCCTTCCCACAAAGATTCTCCAGTCCCTCTCTTTGGAGTCCTTTTTCTTACCTGCTGCAACAGCCTCCTTTGTGATCTTTCCATGTCTGGCCCCCATCCACCGTTCCTACTCTTCCCAGAGGGATCTTTCTAAAACTCAGCATTGACAGCCGTTTCTCCACCCTCCCTTCTTCAGTTGCTCTCTGCAGCAACTTAAGCTCCATAGTCTGAGCTAGGGAAATAGCTGACTGGCCAGCCGCCTGCCCAGGCATCTTCCTTTCCCACCCTGAGCTTCAGCATCCTGGCAGAGGAATGCCACAGCTCTGGGAATGATCTCTGAGAACTCCAAGCAGAATCTGATGGCTCTCTGTCTCTACTGCCATTTTATCTGTATCTCCATCATAATTCCCTCCCTGCAGGGATGACTGTGCAATGAGAGCCTGAGCACCCTGAGACGAACACATTATCTTATTGTTTTCACCCCAGGAACAAGTGGAATCTTAGAATCTCTATGTGCAATTTCTGACATAATAATATTAGTAATAGTCTGTATTTTTGAAGGTCTTTATTATAGGGTCTTACATTTTACTAATGTTGTGATATAGCTAACAGAAAAAGCCATTTAAATCCAAGGATTTATTGTAGAAATACAGTATTAGAATGAGGAAATAGCAGCCTCTATTTTTTTCTTGCTTACTCTGTTTCTGCAACACTGAATGCAATCCTAGGGTAGAGACAGGCTGGGATGTGTTTAGAGGAAAGTGCAATGGTAAATGACAGAAATTTTCTTTCTGTCTTCAAATATGGATAAGACTCATGTGAAAAAGGTATTTTAAATCATTTTTTATTATGGTCTCAGATAGCGTAACAAGCACCAATTGATGAAATGTTGTGGAAGACACATCTACGAGGAGTATGTGCAGCTCTCTGGCTTTTCACTAAGAGGATGAGAATCTACTCAAGGAGGGTGAGGTTGAAGTGAGCCATCTCTGCACTCTAGCATGGGCAATAGAGCAAGATCCTGTCTCAAAATAAATGTTCTACCTCTTCTCTTAGGTATATTTTCAAAGCACAGGTATAGGATATCCTACTGAAGTTTCAGGATGAATCTTAAAGAACACGAACTTTAACGAACTTCTTCCCTGAGACATCATGCTCCTTTTTTCCACAACAGCTAACTTTCCTGACTTTAAAGTTTCAAAACAAAAAACACTTATTAACATATATTAAAAACATAATTATTTCTTATAATAAAAATTAACAGGAAGACACATAAAAAATAATTTACTAGAACCGAAAGTCCTAGTAATTGCTTTAATCAATTTTCTTCTTAATCCTTATGCTTTAAGGAATGAAAATATTAAATTGGCTCACAAGATCCATCCTAGTATCTCCTCTTTTCCAGAGCAAATGTGTACACCCTTCTTTTTCAAGCACACTAGACACTTATGTAAGTGTCAGAGGCATTTCAACAGAAGACCCTAGTGCCACACGTGCAGTTCACTTAACTTTTACTAATTAGGCTTAAAGAAGAGCATCTTTGTGAAAATTTATTATATCACAATGAAGATCCTTACTGCATTTTAAAAACAGGGAATTTTTCTCTCAGACCATACTATGTCTACATTATTCTAATTCAGCATATTGAAAGGACACTATTATTCTTGCCACAAGATTAAATACTAAATGACCAGGAAATAACTGTTTTTATTTTTAAATGTTGAAATATGTAATATTTATGTCTTTCATAAACATACACAAATATTATAGTAGAATCCGTAAGCATGATCAAAACAAAAATAATTGCATGTTTTGAATAATAAGAAGAATGAACTGGAGGTTTTAGATCTTAACATGTGTCTCGAGGCTTGGACAACAGGACCTTTGAGGAACAGTAGGATGACAAGAACACACACGAGTTTACTTAGGAATTTAAGATCCGTTCAGTAAATCACATCTTTTCCATTGTCTTCACTACTCCAGGTTCCCACATCCCTGACATAGTAGCTTGTTAGAAGTGGAGAGTCTCAGGCCCCAACCCAGACCTGCAGGATGCAAATCTGCTTCTAAACAGTGCCCTGGTGATTCATGTACACTTTAAGGAGTTTGGGTGTTATCCTTGTTTTTGAGACAGGATCTCACTCTGTCACCCAGGCTGGAGTACAGTAGCATGATCACAGCTCACTGCAGCTTCGACTTCCTGGGCTCAAGGAATCTTCCCATCTTAGCCTCCAGAGAAGCTGGGACTATAGGTCCGCACGCACCACCACACCCACTTTTTTTTTTTTTTTTTTTTTTTTTTTTTTTTTTTTTTTTTTTTTTTTGAGACGGAGTCTCTCTCTGTCGCCCAGGCTGGAGTGCAGTGGCGCAATCTCGGCTCACTGCAAGCTCCGCTTCCCGGGTTCACGCCATTCTCCTGCCTCAGCCTCCCGAGTAGCTGGGACTACAGGCGCCCGCCACCACGCCCGGCTAATTTTTTGTATTTTTAGTAGAGACGGGGTTTCACCTTGTTAGCCAGGATGGTCTCGATCTCCTGACCTCATGATCCACCCGCCTCGGCCTCCCAAAGTGCTGAGATTATAGGCATGAGCCACTGCACCTGACCAAGGCTGAATTTTGAGAAGCACATCTCTAAGCCACCGACTGTATCATGAGAAATTTAAGACTGCTGTTTTAAAAATAAATGTCCTACTCTGGTCATTTTTCTTATGACTAAGATTAGAGGTATTTGGTGTTTACTTTTAGTCATTCACATACACGCACACATACATATACACACATGTACATAGAAAATATTTTATAAATATATTATTTAAATTAAAAATCTGAGCATGTAAGAGAAATGTTTTTTTATTTAGCCATTATTATTTGTAAGTTGAATTCCTTTTATTAATACTGCTTCTATTATGCTTGGAATCCAAAAGCAGGTAGTGTTAACATGGAGCATTTTTCAGTGTTGACAATCAGGTTGGTTTTATTAAAGATGCAAATGTGAAAATGGCAAGTGGCAGAAAGAAAAACAAATGTATGGTCTATTAAATGCCATGTCAGAAATGCTAAAAGCCCAATTATATAAATCGCAGAAAATTTTTCTGTAGAGCATTTTTATATATCAAATTGCAGTTACAATTCTAACTTAATGGTCTGTTTATAAGAGACATGTCTATCAGAACGGTTAAAAAAAATCTGAAAATAAATTGTAAAAATGTATAAATGATACCAAAAGTGCATTATCTACAACTAAAGGAGAAACATGGTCAACTGTCAACCACATGCTTCACTGTGTTTGGAGAATTACAGCTATTTTCTAAGTGTTTTTGTTTGTATTTTATTACATTAATTATTACATTAAAATTGGCTCTGCTAAGAGTCAGTATATAATCTGAAAATAAATATACCAAGAAAAATAACCAAACTTTTAACAGAGGAGATCACATTCTTTTAGACATAATCTATTTCAAGAAAAATAGCCAAACTTTTGATAGAGGAGGTCACATTATTTTAGACATAATCTATTTTAAAATGTGTGAAAAATTTGATGAAGGACCAAATTCTAAACAAGAAATATCCTCAGGTCAGTATATTTCCATTACAATTCTGAACACTAAATGGACAAAAACCAAACAGCCCAACAAAAAACGTTCACAGGATGGAAATTATCATCATGAAACACAGGGAGTGGTATCTTCAAAGCAAAAAATGAACGTGTGTCAAGAATGAGCAGAGTAGAGCGCTTCTCACGGGCCGGTCAGAAACACCGGAGCGTCAAGTACCATGAACCTCCTGCTTTGAGTTCATGATGTTCTTTCCAAGCCAGAGTCAACCGTCATTAACCACAGAGAGTGGCTATCCTGATTATTGGGTCATTCCCTGGATAGTCAAACGCTATTCAAATTTTACAAGTTGCTTTTCCAATTTACACCTTAATCATTTGTGAGTTTAGTTAATTTGAGTCAAAGCTTTCTTCTGCTCTAACCACTTCTGGATGTATAAAGGAGATTTTCTCTGAACTATAAATTTTAGGTACAGACCTTGAAGTTTTGCCTATTACACTTGAGAGGCCTTCGATACCCTCAGGTGCTATGAAAACCTCTTTATCGCAAAAGCAAGCTTCTTGCGGTCCACTTTTCTCTGTCCGTTCCCACTCAAGTTCTAGTTGCTCCCTATATCCAGCCAAGCCGATTAAAGCTAGAAGTTTATAAACCACAGCACTTTCTCTCTTCCCAGAGTGATTCCATGAGATGACGGACTCTAAAACAAACGTGTGTTAAAGTCACGCTCTAGAGCCTGCATCCACGCCAGGCTGGCACACGCAGCCCCGTTTTTCTTATGCGGCTTTGATGATGATTCAATTAAGGCAGGTATGAGCAGGAGCTAATACAAAAGCTAATACGCAGAGGTGCTCAGGGACGCCAATTTCTTTGGGTTCCCTATAAAGAGCGTCGCAGTCCAGGCCAAACACAGGGACTGACTGACGGTCACCTCTGCAGGCTCGGGGGGCACAGGCAAGTCCCCACTTGGAAAGTACAGCTCAGGGGCTTGAACTTTGCCTTTTTAATGTAACTTCCCTTCTTCCATTTTGCTTTCCTGAGTTCTACTGATGTGTGTGCTGTGCTAGCCACAACTTCTTTCCATTTCAGTGTTTCGTATTGTCTCTTCTCCAACCTCTCAGTTCGGTTCTAGCCTGCGCAGGACACAGCTTCCCAATCCTGGGTCTGCGGCACTGTCCCAAAATGCTCTCCATAAGTGAGGAATTATATTTATTTAGCATAGGTTTTTCTTTGTGATAATGGTATATGAATTACCTGTCTATATTTAGAGTAGCTACCTCAATGATTTACAATTCACACAAAATAATATCTTTGGTTCGTGGTAGCAAAAATTAGCCATTTTCATAGGAGCAACTCTAACAATATTATTCTCAATTTTGAAAATGACCAGTCTCTGGACCTTGTCAGATATTATTTTACATAATGCTTTTCTCAGGTCATGGTTTAATGATAATTATACTAATTAGTGTATGAAGCTAGGGTTCTTGTTCACTGAAATCTTGTAGAATTTCTTCATTAACTTCCAAGGAGTAAAAAACATAAAACACCCATAAGAAAGTATGTTTTTCTAATTTAGTAGTCTCAGACATTAAAGTTGAACTGAATTTTTTCACCATAATTCTAATGGCTCAGTATGTATAAAAATCCAAATCAACATTTTAAAAAATAGTTCTTCAACTATTTCAAATCAGACACATTTGAAAACATACACTTGTTTCAAACATCAACCTATCATAATAAACTTGTGTTAAATTGAACTAATATATATTCTTTTTTATATAAATTTAGTTTTTGGTCAATAAAATCTCGAGAAATGCGTAAGAATGGCATGTCAAAATCCATACATTTAAATCAAATTCATACTTTTAAAATTAGATTTATCTTATGTAGGTAAGTTCTAATCAATGAAACCTTAATTTTGTATACATACAAAGTTATAGCTATCCAGTTGTCTCAGCAGTTTTTGGTCCTAGAGAGAATTGTATTTTTCCTCTGGCAGAAAATTAAAAACACTATTGCAGCCTAATGGATTACACTCTGGTTTTATTACTAAGAGAAAGAAATGCTATACAGTTTAGTTACAAATGATTTAGTAACAGCACCTAAGCTTTAATAAGTATTAAATATAAATATGTAGCTCTCAAAGAATGACTATGTATAGTATTGAAAGAAAGCTCTCTTAGATACTATTTAACACTGTGGTATCATATATTCTTTCTTAGAGTAACTTAACATTTTAAGAACCCATTCAGGCTTTTGTTTGTTCATCTGACTATTCACTTATTGAAATGTAGCAGACATTTCTTAGATGCTAGAAATAAAGAGAGAGAGAGGGAGAAGTAGAATGTAGAGAGAGAGTAGAGAGAAGTAGAAATAAAAGAAAAAGAAAACACAGATTTTAAGCTTTCACAATTCTTAGCTACTGAGGGCTATCATTAACTTAGCATACTTTAATGGAGTAACACTCTCCAACATATTTAAATCTATAGGAACACGCATTTTTGAACTTCTACCACAAGTACAGTGAGATGCTAGTACAAATGAGGGGTGAAGAAGATGC
Organism: Homo sapiens; assembly: GCF_000001405.40. Classification (NCBI taxonomy): domain Eukaryota; kingdom Metazoa; phylum Chordata; class Mammalia; order Primates; family Hominidae; genus Homo; species Homo sapiens. The sequence goes on from NC_000008.11 coordinate 4,745,836, forward strand.
AAAGAAAATCTCACACTCTGCTGTATAGAAGGGCTTCTGAGCTTGATCCAGGCTCAGCCACTTCCGTGCAATCAAGTCAGCTAACTTTTGAGCCACCATTTCCCCATTTGGTATCTCATCGGTACGCTTTGAAGTACAGGCTAAGAATCAAGATATGGTTTAGAAAAAGAAAATCTTCTAAACTGTAAAATATTATGAAATTGAGTTTTTATTAAGATAATTTTTGTTACTGTCAGCCCCTCACATCAGAAACCCCGTGACTTCACTTGTGCTCCTCCTGCTGTTAAATTAAGCCCTCTTTGGGCCCTGTTTCTTGGGCTTTGCACCTTTTCATCCAAAATTCTTTGTCCAATTCCGCCCTAAAACCCCCTTTTCCATGGAATCACCGAAAACGTATGGCCAACAAATTCCAGCCAGACTAGATCTTCTTCTAGGTGACGTACTTAGAGCCTGGTGCCCTTTTTGAAAGAATTCACTCAGAATAGCGACTGTAGGCACTTTGGCAGGGGTTCAAGGGCTATGGTTTTAAGCGTTAGTCCTTTTCATTATCCTGCAAATCTCATTTTAAGGCAAATGCAGCATTTTCTTCTTGCGAATGGAAGTGGACTTGCTCACCACAATATCAGGCTCCCTCAAGAATGAGTGATTCGTGTCTTTATCATCGGTGATGAGAGCAATTAAAAGGTCTGTTTTACATGATCAGTGAAGACGAAGGGCTTGCCCAAGTGAGAATGAAGGAATGTGATCTATTCTAGCGAGCATGCATTTTGTCCACCACAGCTGGGTAGGATAATTATACAATCCAACCTGGGCAGCACAAACTATGCAGTTCATTTATGCATCTGCTGCTGAGCACATACTCTGAGCTGCTGGGGCTAATCCACAATCCACCTCGGTGGGAGTCACCGGTAGAACCTTCACTACAGCAGCGAGGTCATTCTGAAGGCATCATACCATCAAAAGATAACTGTGTGGGTTCTCTCTCAGAGAAAAATAGTGATACCTGGCATGTGACATACTCTGCAAACAACATTCTTTAAAAGCATAATTGACTTAGATCATAAAAGAATTGTGGGACACTCTAGTGTAATGAATCTGATGATTCAAATGCCATCCCAAATTAGAGAGAGGGAAGAACAGGAATAATTTCTCAAGCAGGGAACTCGTGAGAAGGCGGTTCAGAGAAGCCACTGAGTAGGGAGGGCCTCCCCACCAGAATGGATCACCATCCTCTGGGGCTAGAGCTGCCTGCACGACACAGGAATGGCAGGTGCTTTCGGCTCCTGCTCCTAAGAGGTTGAAGAGATTTGGCCAATCTTTACTTATAGGGGGAGAGGAAAGGAGTCCTTGTTTTCTTGTCTCTTGGAGAATTTCTACCTTCAGTAATGAACACAGCATTTTATTGAGACATGCCTTTTTCATAAGTAGTATTGAAAACAAGCCCTATTTTCTACTCTGAACGGAGCCTGCTCTTCTCATTTATTTCATAAATATGAAGAATTTGCTATATGATAGTTAATATTCTAGGATACGGTTTTCATGGCGAGACACACAACTAACAAGATTGGTAAGAGCAATACAATAGTGTGTTAAAAGGTGGTACTTATGTCAGAGAAAATTTAAGCAGGAAAGAGAAGAGAAAATGCCCTCCTAAGTAGAGAAACATTTTAAAACCCAAAGCAAATCACTACACTGATATTTGTCTTAATTTATGATCCTCCTACGGTGACTATATTGTCACCTGCTAAATACACTGAATGTTGTGCTTCTCTCTTTATTCTGGAGTTAGCATCATTATCAACCTTCTGCTTTATACTCAGTTGTTGATTTTGCATGCCTTGTGGCACAAGGCTTTTCCACCTACCATCATCCTGGTCTCTAGATGAATGAGATGCCAATGTCCTGTGGCCCAAGCACATCGAATACTGTGTAAAGCCTGGGATAGAGGCTAAAAAAAACATCGAAACCCAGCCAAAGCATCATTTGTAAATGTCTCTATTCATCAACTGTTCAGGTCTCTTTTCTGTCATAACACGCACCAGGATATCTGTTGTTGCTTTAAGCAAAGGATAATCAATGACAAATACACTATTTATTGCAGAAACTACCATATGTTCTGCCTTCTACTTACCACACCGTATATTGGCTCTGCTGATGTATTAGTTTCACTAAGTTATCCATCTTCCAAACTCTATGTAGAAGTAGAAATAAAAACAGGGCACTCAGCTGTGCCCCCACCCTCTGTTGAAATATGACTGATGAAAATCCTTCCTTAGAAGAACAATGACATGCTACCAACCAACTCACAGAGAAAACCCACAACATGTTTCTACTCCATCACCTTGGCACATAAACATCATGCTCAAATTCCTTTCTCTTAAATGGAAACAAGAAGAAAAGCAATTCAAGCAACCGATTACAATCTTTAGAAAGCACACAAGCAAATCATCATCCTTTCTACAAGAGAAGCCAGAGTGCACCATCTGAGTTGGAAATGTGTGCATATGGAAATTTGTTTTCTTAGCATGGTTTTCTGCTCCTTTGAATACTTTTTAAATCTGAAACTAAGGAAGTCACATTTTATTTGCTGCTGCAGTATCATATTTATGACCCAAGTAAGGGTGAAACTCTGGAAAGTGTGGCTGGCTGTGCGTCAGTTCCCATTCCTTGTTAGTTTCTTTGTAACTGTTCGTGAAACGGTATTTATCAAAGAACAGACATCAGGATTATTGGGTTCAGCATTCTGAGAAGACTCACGGGGAGAAATCATAGTGTTTTCATTCTAAATTATTTATTGACTGGAATGTCTCCAGAATTTAAATTTTTAGTCTAAAATTCAAGTTTGTAGGGGGTGAATAGCCCACACCTGAGTTGCAGATATTCAAAGAATACTCAAAGTAAAATGCATTTTTACAGACTTAATTACTGGTTAATTATTGAATAGGTATTTAGTAGCGTGTTAGCATCACCATTGTGAACATATGCCCCTTCGGGAGAGTTCACCACTGTGAACATACGCCCCTTCAGGAGAGTTATTCAACAAAGTTATTCCGGTCCTGTTACTCTGAAGGTTCTCTGCTGCAGACACTGGGCAGTAATTCTGCTTCCTTAACTCACTACAATTCTTCTAATAAGTTCTAAGCTACTGGCATTAATTAATATTTTCCCTTTGTCACGGTGACCAGTTCTGACCCAAAACTGTGTGTGTGTGCCTGTGTGCGTGTGTGTGTGTGTGAGCGCACGCTCGCCTGCCCATGCAGTCTCCACTCGCTTTGCTAATTTCACTGCCACATCTAATATTGTCATGAGTCATAGATTATCACAGAAAAGAAAATCTATTGATTGATATGGATTAGAATATTCTTAACAAATCTGAAAACTTTTTCATTAAAGGGTTAAATGTTATCTTTAGAGAGAATATGCTCATTTTATAAATTTTACTACAGATTTCTTCCAAGGTTACTTTTAGTTTGACATTGGAGTATCACAAAATCTTACATTAAACGTAAAAGCCATTTAAATGTTCAGCATAGTTGCTAAGCGGTCCTTGATAGTGTAAACACTTCATATATTCTGAAGGTGTTTAGAGGTATTGCCGTTTGGCCATGGAAATAAGGTTAAGACCCTTCTTGAGAAAGGAATTCCAAGAACCATTAGTGATGACTTGTGGTTAGCACGTGTATTATTTTATTTTTATTTTACTCTAGACTTCTAAAACCATGCTTGTTTATTCAGGAAAATGTCAATGATCTTGTACAGAGGATAATTATCTGTTCTTGGAATGTACCAGCGTCAAAAGTTTCACTTTAATAATTCCAGTTTAGTAATTTTTAATTTATAAATTTACCAAGTTAGCAATTTCAACTTAAGAAATTCATTGCAATAATTTTAATAATTACATATTTCATAAATAATATACACCATCTAGATGCATTAAAATGTGTAAGTCTGGGCCTGTATGACACATTGTTTAAACCATAAGATGTTTTGCTGGTAATTTGGAAAGCCAGGGTGTGGATTTACGGCAAAAAGAGAAATGCAACTTCAAAATCCCGGGTCTTGTTTTGTCTCTAGATTGTCAAGCGCCACTAATAGAAAATTAGCCAAGGTCTTCATGGTTCCCTCAAGTGCCTGTTTAATAAAACCCTTGTTTAATTGAAAAAAAAATAATAATTATTATTATTTTTTTGAGATGGAGTCTCGCTCTGTCGCCCAGGCTGGAGTGCAGTGGGCGATCTCGGCTCACCGCAAGCTCCGCCTCCCGGGTTCACCCCATTCTCCTGCCTCAGCCTCCCGAGTAGCTGGGACTACAGGCGCCCGCCACCACGCCCGGCTAATTTTTTTTGTATTTTTAGTAGAGACAGGGTTTCACCGTGTTAGCCACGATGGTCTCGATCTCCCGACATTGTGATCCGCCCGCCTCGGCCTCCCACAGTGCTGGGATTACAGGGTGAACCACCATGCCCGGCCCTGACTTTTACTTTTACTCACCTCTCTAGAAACTGCTGAACAGAAAATTGAGTTGCTTTTTTAAAAAGTAGTTTAGGGTTATCAAGATTCAATTTCCTTAGGATAAATATGTGTTGCAATTAAATGGTTTAGAAAACCTTGGATTAAATAATATCTAAAACTCTTATGGGCAATGCCTCTTAATTTCATAGTCATTATTATATTTTAATGTTAAGATTTTCCTATATTTTGAAAATTTTATCAGCATAGGTCAGATCTTTTTTCACTTTATAAGTAATTCTGAGTGGTTCGTGATCCAGCAATGAGACTAAGAGAATACCAAGGACATACACATCTAAATAAAATTAAAGGAATCTAGTTTATTACAAATTCATTGTGATTAAACTGTGTATTGAGTTTCCCAATAGAAACTTGACTTTTGTCAGTAAATACCGAATTACTTCCCAAGGAAAAAAAAAAAAAAGTAGTATTAGCATAAAATGTTTCGTTGGTTGCTTTTTTATGCTTGTTTCAGTATCAAGGGTCTACTGATAGCTGATGAGATATTGGGATTTAGTGAAGGGACTGTGAACACCCAGAGAAGCAGTACTAGGTCTTACTAATTTGGATAGCTCCATTGCCTGGCATAATGTTGGTGCTTACAGCCATGTCTGTATTGACACTTTAAGGGAAGGCTTTAACCTGGATTGTCAGACCCTTATATGGTGGCTATTTGCTAAGATTATCAAATCTTTCAGGAGGTTCCTCACACCAGGTAAAGTTTGATATACATGTGCATCGTTAAAGAGAGCATGTCTGCCTGGGAGCAGTGGCTCAGGCCTGTAATCCCAGCACTTTGGGAGGCCGAGGTGGGTGGATCACCTGAGGTAAGGAATTCCAGACCAGCCTGGCCAACATGGCGAAGACCCATCTCTACTAAAAATACACAAATTAGGCAGACATTGTGGCACGCACCTGCAGTCCCAGCTACTTGGGAGGCTGAGGCAGGAGAATCGCTTGAACCCAGGAAGTGGAGGTTGCAGTGAGAGTGAGCCGAGATAGCGCCACTGCACTCCAGCCTGGACGACAGAGCAAGACTCTGTCTCAGGGGGGGTGGCGGGGCAGGAAAAGAGAGCATCTCTATAAAATTAATTTGATTTCCTCAGTAGTTCATTACCCTAAATAGCATAAAAAGTGTCCTGGATTTTGTGGAATCATGAGCTAGATAACTTTCTAAAGTTATTTTATCCCTTTAATTCCAAGATTTTATGATCCTAATAGCTTAATCTCACCTACAGATAAAAAACAGAGTTTATTCAGGATAAATAAATAGCAGCCTCAAGGGTGAAAAATGCCACTATCACCCTCAGTGAATTATTTTAACATTTTTAATGGTCAGCTACCCTTTCTCTGAAACACAGACCAATTTTATTTTCCCTGTCAGTCTGCTGTGGAGTTAGGAGCTTGGTGTCTGACATTGAGGACCTCTGCGTTTGCATTCTAGCTCTGCCCCGTACATGCAGAGTCCACATGATGTCTTCGGTTTCATGTTCTCTGTCCGAAAATAGTGCATTGGTGTGCAGTTTAGTTTCCAATTAATCATCCACTTTCTCAGTAAAGTGTTAGTTCCAGAGTCAGGAAGATCCATGTAATCTGAGAGTGGGGGAAGTGCAAAGAATATATACATATACACGACTGTATATATGCGTGTATACACAAAATACTGATTAGTATCTACATTAAATATGTATATGCAAACTGTGTATATATTAATACAAAAACATATGTATATTCATGTCTGTGTGTGTGTACATGTATCACATATATATATCACATGTATATATCATATATATGTATCTCAGTTGCTCTTTAGTTCCTTACCACTTCTCTAGGAAGTAGAAAAAAAATCACTTCATCATAAACAGTACTATCATATCTTAATTTTTTTGTCTCAGTGTATAACTGTGTACTTGTCTTGACAATACAATTTCATTTATGAGCATTTAAAATAACCCTCTTTCACCTTGCTTGAAATTGCTTTATGTATTTCTCTGTGAGCAATCTTTTTTATTCTCTTGAACAATAGATGAAACAAAAGCTCTGAATTTCTGTAAGGTCATAGGTATGGACTGAACTTGTGACTGATTGTTTCATAAAACCTTAGGTACTACCTCGGGTGATGAAGGAGAGATCTTTGCTAGTGGCTTTGGTTATAAGGGCTAAAACGTGAATACCTCTTTGAAACTCAAAGTTAAAACTCTGTACCCAGATGCACAGAGTGAAAACGAAGTGAATTAAATGCATGAGTGAAATTCTAGAAAAATGTAGGGGAGCAAGAGAGAGGGGAAAATTGATGTGCCATATTTTCTCTCCAGCAGATAAAATCTGATGGTGAAATGGGATTGCTCTACACAGGGGTGGTTTACCTTTGGGGCAACGAAAAAGTTGCTTCTTGGATTTGCTCCGTGGAAGGACAAAAGTGAGGTATTGCAGACTAAACAGGAGAGAAGGCATCAGTACCTGGAGAAAGAAGGATGGAGGCAAAGTTCCTGAAATAACAAGTTGAGGAACTAGGCAGATCAGCATGTCTTTTCTCCCAAAGATCCTGCACCACACTTTCCAGCGCTATTACAGGGCTTCCCAGTGGCGTGATGATGCTCACAGCAGAGCCAAAGAAAATCATTACTTTAAAATACAATTATGGATGGTTTGGTATATAACGACAGTTATTATTTATCCAATGCATAATAAGAGAAAATACATATTACTTTATCTCATTTAACCCTCACACCATCCTTAAAAGATGGATGCTATTTTTGGAAACATTTTATGGATAAGAAAAGCGAGGCTTAGAAAGCTGAAGTCACTTGTCTGAGATCATACATACAGGAGGCAATGGAGACAGGAGTAAGGCCCGGGTCCCCATGATGAGCTCATTTGCTTTTTTCTGCTGTTCTGGGCTGAGTCACAAAAGAAAATTTCCCTTATATTGTAGAGGATGATGAGGAATTTTGGAATACATTTAAATGACCAGGATAAAAGGGGCTAGCACTGTCTGCTTTCATTTTGTCGATATTGTAAGGTCTGTTTTTGTCTCTTCCCTACTTTCCACCATAAACCACACACACACACACACACACACACACACACACACACACACACATGCGCACACACTCCTTTGTGTCTTATGAATTTTCCCCTCCATTCTTCTTTTTCATTTCGTACAAGCCCACACTCGTTGCTCGGTATACTAAGTCTTGGGTTCATGATTGCACCTGCCTTCCATCACTTCTCATTGGCACCCATGAACCTGACATCCTCACAGTATCAGGCGTCTCACTGTTCCGCAGCAGGACATGACCTTTTGATGCTGCCTTCTTCTCAGGTTCCCTGGTGTCTCTTCTGACCTTCTGCTCCTTTAACAGCTAATACCACCTTCAAGGCAGAGCTCAAGTATAAACAGTTTACATTCTGATGGGAACATTCCCTTTCCTCCCCACCACTGCCTCCTCCTTTACTCCATCGCACTTTCTTCATCCTGTTATTATTTCGCACTGTGATAATTGAACTAGATTCCTTTACTTCTTCTAAGCTAGAAGGTGGCAGGGAGTTGTTTTCCTGTTCATCTGTTACCAGCACATGCGAGATGCTTTATGTGCTGCCAATTTAAAAAAGCAAATGAACAGCTTCAAATACAGGAAGAGTAAAAATAGTCTGCCCAGCTAAAGATTCGCTTTGAAGGTTGTTAACATTGACATAACATAAAAGGAAAAATGTATGCGTTGCTCACCATATTTAGAAATGTGAAATATGAATCGTATGTTACATTAAACATTTATTCTTGGTGGTAGCAATAAAATAGACACTTCTGATTGAGCAAAGCATGGGCTGAAACCTGTGCACTCCACCATTCATCTCTACAACTCTTAACAGTCGGGATCTGCCATTTCCATGTCTCAGAGAAGAAAATAAGATTGACTAAGAAGACAATTGCCAGAAATTGCACTGTTACCCGGTAGAGAAAGTAGAATTTGACCAACATTCAACTTGAAACCTTGTGTTCTGGCTACAGCGCTATCCCACCCACATCAGGTATTAATTGATCTGTAGTGTCATATCCCAACTGGGTCACATACAAATAAGTAGTAACTAACTTGTATACTTCCCAAATTAGCATCTGTGTCATGCATGCAATTTTTGCACTTCCAAGTTTAGCATAAATGCACTCCCAAAATTAGCGTCTATGTACTGCACACTTTGTTTTTTTTTTTTTAAAGCCAAGTAGGGCCAGGCGCAGTGGCTCATGTCTGTAATCCTAGAACTTTGGGAGGCAGAGGTGGGTGGATCATGAGGTCAGGAGATCGAGACAATCCTGGCTAACATGGTGAAACCCTGTCTACTAAAAATACAATAATTTAGCCAAGCATGGTGGTGGGCGCCTGTAGTCCCAGCTACTCAGGAGGCTGAGGCAGGAGATTCGTTTGAACCCAGGAAGCAGAGGTTGCAGTGAGCCGAGATCGCACCACTGCACTCCAGCCTGGGTGACGGAGCAAGACTTAAAAAAACAAAGTCGGATGAGTGTGGTGGTTCACACCTGTAATCCAAGCACTTTGTGAATCCAAGGTGGGTGGATCACAAGGTCGGGAGTTCGAAACCAGCCTGGCCAACATAGTGAAACCCTGTCTCTACTAAAAACACAAAAAATCAGCCGGGCATGGTGGCATGTGCCTGTGATCCCAGCTACTTGGGAGGCTGAGGCAGAAGAATTGCTTGAACCCGGGAGGCGGAAGTTGCAGTGAGCCGATATGGTGCCACTGCACTCCAGCCTGGTGACAGAGGGACACTGTCTCAAATAAATAATTAAATAAATAAGCAAAAGCAAAGTCATAGGCCAAATTTTAAAGTTCTCTTGTAAAAATCTCATGTCCACGCAGTATTTCCTGAGTCTTTGTTGTTTATACTCATGTAGGACAATATTTATGACTTTGCCTTCAACTTGGAAATATTTTCTTCTTTATAGCACTTGACAATCTTATGTTCACTTTTCCTTTTGGGATATTATCTTCTGCTTTGCAATTAGCTATAACCTTCAAAGTGCTGCTTTCTCCTGAAATACTTGGTTCTGATGACTTCAAGTACTTATTTACTATCTTAATTTTTTTATTTAAATAAATTTACTGTTTCTATGATTGACATTTATTTTTGGCATAACGTTAAAATTGATGTTTCCTGCTTTCAACTCTGTCTTATACACCTGTCCTGATTTTCTATTTGATGTAATTTTTTGATGTTCTACTGTCACGTTGATTTTATCAGATGGAAAGTTACTTTTCATCGTCTCCAGCCCCCAGAATCTGCCAAACACATCTGTCAATGGCATTATTAGTTTTCAATAATTCGCAGTTAAAGTTTCACACAATTTTGAATCTTGCTTCCGTTTTCTGTATGTAGAGTTACATATTCATTGCTTTTTGAATCTCCCTCCAAAATGTCTTCATGAACGCTATTTTTTCCATTCTTAACGACACTATCTTATTGTTACATTAAATCACTCCTAGATGAAACCACACCAACCTGGTCCAACGTGAGAAACTCATAATGGGCTGCTCGGCCTTCAGTTTTTTCCTTTCCAGTGAACTCTACACATTACCTAAAACACTGGTTTCATTGTATTATTAACAAAATCAAACTATATGATGAATTATTTAGTATGTGTGAGTATTAAGTCATTTGCTAATTGTTTAGTTCACAAATACAAATGCTAAATCTCCAACCTTTTTAAAACAAAGACCTTTATTCTATGTATGTTCCAAAAAATTCTTTTTCACAGGAGTATATAGTAAGCATATTCTGTATCAATTAAACTTTATGAATTCTATAATTGCACACACATTTCTGGAAAACTGTTGATCTATTTAACATCTAGCATAATATAGGGCATCATGATGATGAAATGGGTTATACAGAAAAGAGCTAGTATAAAATCACATTGCCATCATGCAAAATTGAGAAAGTTTTAAATATTGAAGATTTCCAGAAACACCATAACTCATCAATTCAGGCATACTGGCCATATTTTTAAAAGTAACACTTGGTTTTTTTCTGACCCGACCAAGTTGAAGAACAGTGGTGAGTTCATCATGACAGTCCAGTTTCCTAAACGCTAAAAGTTAATTTGGGGAGGAAATAAATTATATATAAATGTAAATAATATTTGTTTTAACCCCATGCTTAATATTATTCTGGTCTACTCCAACGAGGTATGTATAATGCTATTGAAATAGAGCATGCGTTCTAGACTTGTTTTTGCAGATGTATCTTCACTTTGGCTCACTAATTGTCTCACTCCAGGATTAACTTCGCCCTGGAGGATCAGAAAAAATAGAAGCTAGACAGTCAATTTCTAGTTTTCACCCCATGGTTCCATATTTCTTTTGGAGTTACAGGAAACAGGTAAAATAAATGTAGCAGCTTCCTGGGAGTCATCTTGGGCATTTTAGGTCTATATTTTCTATGTCTGCTGGATAATAGAAGAGCTGGGCCCAGGTATAACACAGTGACTGAAAAAGGGTGGACTTCACTTTTTAACCTGAAAGCAAACTTGGCAGTCCAAATCATCCTTTAACCGGAAACAGCTGTGAAAGCTGAATGTTTTTAAAAGAAACCTGTTCAAACACATAAGCTGGTGAGGAAAGAGTGCAGATATAGAATATATTTAGATTTTATTAGTAGACTGTTCTTATACAATATGCAGGAATGCATTGTGTTTAAGAAACTGAAACAGAAATGGCAAGAAACAGGATAAGTAGGACAAAGAACAAACACAAACATAAGTCACATTAGTACTGAGAATAGATGCGAATAACCAGATTTCACTTCTATAAACATGACTGGATTTACTTTATCAATATTAGTTTAGCTGTTTTACTTCAGGTTCTCCTTAGAGAAAACAACTTGCAATTGACTACATTTTAAAAGTTTGCAAAATGATAATGGAAATAAAAGATATACGTGACTAATCATAACCTGGCTATCATGTCTTGAATTTCTCCTGTGTGCTAGCTAGGCCCCAACTCAGTCTTTAAGATGATTCAATATACACAAAAACTCGTTCATCTATACAATAGTCACCAATTATGAGCTGTGATCCTGGAGAGCAGGAAGGTTAACTGACTTATTCAACATCAAACAGATAATGAGTACCGCAGCTAGGCACACTGCAAGAGGGAGAACTGGGATTTGCATCCCTACCATGTAGGTGACACAGACTATTCTGGATAGGCTAAGTCTGAGCAATAGCCTACAGGAGACATATCTCTACCAAGTTGGATTATGTGCTCTCTTCAGCTTTTATGAATAACACATCATAATTTTGTGTAAAAAGCGACATTATGCTGGGCATGGTGGCTTATGTCTGTAATCCTATCACTTTGGGAGGGTGAGGCAAGCAGATCACTTGAGGCCAGGAGTTTGAGACAAGCCTGGCCAACATGGTGAAACCCTGTTTCTACTAAAAATAGGAAAATTAGCGAGGCACGGTGGCGCACACCTGTAATCCCAGCTACTGGGGAAGCTGAGGCAGAAGAATCGCTTGAACCTGGGAGGCAGCGGTTGAAGGGAGCCGACATTGTGCCACCTGCACTCCATCCTGGGCAACAGAGAGAGACTTTGTCTCAAAAAAAAAAAAAAAAAAAAAGGAAAAGAGAAGAAAGCACCACATTATCCTTGAGACAGGATTTACTGCACAAACTCCCTTTAGGATATCTTCTTTCCTTCTCTCTGCGTTACTTTTCTCAGGTGAGAAATTTCCACTGAAACCAACCAAAGGAAATAATTGGCAACATTGACCAACCAAAATGGTGGTGTTTTTCTGCTTGGAGGTGTTTGCATTTCCTTCTGATAACAAGAGTTACCTGGCTCTGATGCTGTTCCTGTCTTTATCTGGGTAAGGAGGAAGCCCACCGACTATAATGAAGGATTTATATTTCAGCTGTTTCCCAACGTTGCCTTTTGAATGTTATGCTTAATTCGCTGGTTCTGATTCTTTGTGTTATTTAGAATTTGCCTCTATGTATTATGCATTTTCAAGTTGCACCCAATCCTGGTAGAATGAGCAAGGCCATAGATTGTAGAACACAAAATGGCATAAAGGTGACATAAAGGAAGCGTGAGCAAGGAAGGAGCTCAGAAAAGAAAGAGATCCCTTTGGACTGTGCTGGTCAGTAGGGCCTTCTAGAAGGAAGTAGTGAGAGGCAGAAACGTCAGTGTATTAGTCCATTTTCTCACTGCTATACCAAGACTTGGCAATTTATAAACAAAAGATGTTTAATTGACTCAGTTCCACATGGCTGGGGAGGCCTCAGGAAACTTACAATCATGGCAAAAGGAATAGTGGACACATCTTACATGGCAGCAGGTAAGATAAAGAGAGTAAAAAGCCCAGGGGAAACTGCCATTAATGAAACCACCAGATCTGGTGAGAAGTCCCTCAATGTCATGAGAACAGCATGGGAGAACCTTCCCCCATAATCCAACCACCTCCCACCAGGTCTCTCCCTCAAAACCTGGGGATTACAATTCACAAAGTGATTTGGGTGAGGACACAAAGCTTAACCACATCATTCAGTGGTGAGGGATGAGGGGGATTTCAGTAGCAGACGGTGGAGGGTTTGCCTGTTGCACAGAGTGAAGTGCATTGCATGACTTTGTAAGAATGTCTTAAATAAGGTTCCCCAGGAAACAGATGCGGAGATGGAGTTGATGTGCAGAAAAGTTATTAAGATATGCTCTGGGAGCAATATCTGTTAAAGAGTGAGGGAAATGCATTTGGGCTGAGGGAGAAGGTGAACTTTGACACATTTGTAAAGGCCTCAGCCTGCCTGCAGCTATAATTCTTGTTAGTGTTGTCTTGACTTGAGGCCAGAGGCTCTGGTCTCTTTAACCTCACCATCAGTGTCGTTGGATGATGACTGCCCTCAGGAAGGATGCCACCAGGGAAGGAAGCTCTTTCACAAGCCAAGAGGGCATCTGGTCTGAAAGCCCCAGCAGCCAGCAATGCCAATAAAGGGCAGTGGACAGGGCCAGCATGCAAGAGGCTATTATCCAATGGCATCTGAGCATCTCTGAAAAAATTTTAAGTTCAAGGGTACATGTGCAGAATGTGCAGATTTGTTACACAGGTAAATGTGTGGCATGCTGGTTTGCTGCACCTATCAACCCATCACCTAGGTATTAAGCCCAGCATGCACTAGGATTTTTTTCCTAATGCTCTCCCTTTCCCCGAACCATCCCCCTGTCAGGTCCCCATGTGTGTTGTTCCCCTCCCTACGTCCATGTGTTCTCATTGCTCAACTCCCACTTATAAGTGAGAATATGTGGTGTTTGGTTTTCGGTTGCTGCATTAGCTTGCTGAGAATAATGGCTTCCAGCTCTATCCATGTTCCTGAAAAAGACAAGATCTCATTCATTTTTATGGCTGCATAGTATTCCATAGTACATATGTACCAGTTTCTTTATCCAGTGTGTCACTGATGGACATTTGGGTTGATTCCATGTGTTTGCTATTGTGAATAGTACTGCAATGAATATAGGCATGCATGTGTATTTATAATAGCATGACTTATATTTCTTTGGGTATATACCTAAACATGGAATTACTAGGTCAAAGGGTATTTCTGGTTTTAGAACTTTGAGGAATCACCACAGTGTCTTCCACAATGGTTGAACTAATTTACATTCCACCAACAGTGTAAAAGTCTTCCTATTTCTCTGCAACCTCTCCAGCACCTGTTGTTTCTAGACTTTTTAATAAGCATCATTCTGACTGGCATGAGATCTAAGCATCTTAATGGCTCACACAGGATGTCTGCAATAGTCATAGGCTGCAACATCAGTGAACCACAAAGTGCATTCTAATAAATCTATGTAATTATCTATTGTTATATGCACTATTTTTAGAGTACTATTTGCTTAAAAAGGAATGCAAATATACCAGCCTTTGGCATGTGAAGATAATTCTTCTAATCCTTATAAACTTCTGTGCTGGTTTCCTAGTGAAATCAACATGAAGGTGAATCGAGGACATGTCTGCTGCACAAATGAGATTAAAATTCTCAGCTGACTTTATGATACCTTTGTGGCTAGAAGAGTCCATGGCATTTCCTAAATGCCTAATATGCTACTGACTAATCCTGTGAGAATTAAAACCCATTAATTTCCCAATCAATAGAAAGCTTTTAAATTTGAATATTCTTTAGACATATATTATTGGCAAGCAGGAATATTTTTATTTCTAGAATAATTATACCTATGAAAAAATAGAAAAATATAAAATACAGCACAATATTGTTGTATAAGTATGCTGGTATCATGAGTAACATTTTGTCTATTTCCTTTGTTCATATTCTTCAAATTTACTCTAATAAAAGGTGTATTTTGTAATAATGATTAAGTTTGGGGAAAGTATTTTATCAGCTAAGTTTTAGAACTAAATTTAGATCTGTCAAAAACAAAAACACGCAAAAAGATCTGCTGCATTAGGAAGGAATTCCCATAGAATAATCATAATGCCTGTAATATACAACTCATGTCATGACCTTTTAGAAAGTGTGCAGCAGAAGTTATGGTAGCATATCTTTCTCAAGCTTATTTATAATTTATTGACTTATTTCAGACCAAAGTTGCATTATTAGCTTCCACACTCACCTCCCTTTATCATTGTGAGTAGCAGTTTGGTGTCAGAATACACAGTATGTTGTATCTCGGAGCCCAGAGTGATTATTAGCAGAAGTATGTGTTTGTTAATCAGACTGCAGGTAAATGTATTCAGTGAATATGCAAAAGAGTCTTCTACACGTAAAGGAAATGAAAAAAGTCACTATGAAAGCGAAATCTAAGGGACTAGCTGAAGGTTGGTGTCTACCAGAGTAGCCAGGAGGTCACAGGAGACTATGGAACATTCAAAGTGGGCTCTTCAGAACAGGAAAGCATGGTCAGTGTAAAATGCACAAGGGATTTTGAACAACTAATGGAAACAAAATGTAAAAGTCAATTTTTACATTAATTACATCTTGAAATCGTGTTACTTGGTGTGTGTGTGTGTATATATATATATACACACATATATATACACACAATTACATAAAATATGTTGCTGAAATAAATTTTACCTGTTTCCTTTATAATTTCTAGTGTGAATACTAAACATTTAATATTGCATATGTAGTTTCATCATAAATTGTATATGTACTTGGGCAGCTCTGACTTAGAGTTTGAAATTCCTTATGTTAACATAGCTGCGATGGTTACCTCTTATTATAAACCATTTATCTTTAACACTCCCAAATGAAATCATTATAATTCAGAAGCATATAGACTACCTTTATTAAAATAATTAGGTGTTTTTGCTCAATTAAATGATGCACTGTTTATTCTGAAGTAATGAATTAGGGCAGAATTATATTTAACTACTGAGCATGTAACTTGTTTTATCTTTTTGTCTTAATATTGTGAATAAACCTGGTAGTAAATAAAATAGCAAAATAGTACCATGCATCTATCTATCTATCTATCTATCTATCTATCTATCTATCTATCTATCTATCTACCTACCTATCTATCTATCTATCAATCTATCTATCTATCTATCTATCTATCTATCTATCTATCTATCTATCTATCTAGATTCCCAGTGGAAAAGCAACCAAAATTAACATGGAAAACTCAATTACAACTTTTAATATATTAAGACTCAGGATACTGATTAAGACCAAATAAGTCTCAAATGATGTAAGTATAGTAGCTGGTGTTTTAAACTCAATTTCCCCTATAAAATAATGGAACTGAAATAAATGTAAAAGGTAAGATGTCACCACCTAGCAAAAGAGAACCAAAATATCTCGTATATTTATAATTGTTGTGCTAAAATCATATCTGCATGGTACCTGCTTGCGCTATTTTAAAATCTAAACTAATGGGATAATTGTGTGGTTTACGGGTAATTGGGGAGAGAGAAAGAATAGCTGTTTACTGGTATAACATTTAATAAGTTTATATTTATACCAGTAAACTTTGTTTACTGCTATACATTTAATAAAATCCATTTTATCGGTATTCTGAGCTATTACATATATTTTCATGCTATATCAAACGTGTATTTTCTCAAGCATCTCAGTTATTTAACATGCTGTGATTTAAATTACAGATATCAAATTTACATAGGTAAGCATATATGTCTCCTAAAAAACATCAAAAAAGTAACCTACATTTCAAAAATTCATAGTCCCATCAACACAGGAAGAACCAGTGCATCCCTCTGAGCCTGAGTGATGGGCCCCGCATTTGCATAGGACGCAGCGTCTCCACCTCTGCTGTAGCTGTGTGGTTCTCTATCAATAAGGTCATTATTCAGGCCCAGATGCATCACCAGAGCGAGCTATTGTGCTTCCTCCATCTCAATTCAGTGCTCCTGCAGCCTGAATCTCCTCTGAGCTCTTTGAAATGAGGCCAAAAAAATGTATCTAAATTACACCATTTACTAACGCGAAGAAAAGATCTTTCTTTGGTATGTATTGGAGTTAATAATATTTATTAGGCATCTCATTTATACACCCTGCCATAGCAGCATTGTAGGTAGGGTTATAATTTTAAAAGTCTAGACTGGCTTATATTTCTCAATATCTGGTGGCGTGTGGGAGGAGACAGATAAGGAAGCCCTCTGCAAAGACAGACTGTGAGTTTACCCTGCACCCCTAGCAAGACTTCCAGGGTACAGCTGTAACATCCAGTGTCAAAAATTGTTGAATGGACAGAAAAGATACCAAACTCAGCATGAAGTTACAAAGACGAAGAGGTTAATACAGGAAATAAAAACTGTCAACGATCAATTTAACAGCTTAAAGATCTGGGGGTAGAATTGACTTCAAAACTGTTATTCCGTGTTTTCTTTCTGAAAACTCTTTTGGACAAAGGAAGAACAGTCCTTCGTGAATTTCATGTGCTTTGTAGATATAAAGTAACTCTTTCCCTCCTGAATGATCTCATCCCCAATTATCACAGCAAGATTTCCTATTGCATTCACAGTCCTTCCTGTTCTAGGTTTTTAGGCAGTTAATTCAGTCTGTGCTGAGAGTAAAATATAGGTCACTTACAAAGAAGGGTGCATTATTTATAATAGTGACATGATGAGAGCTCCATAATCATTCAATAATTTATTGATGACTTCTTATAATGTATCAACCATTTTTCTATGGTTGGGGCACCATAGAAAGAGCAGATCTATTGTCTTACTTGCTGCGTATTTTCTGAATGACTTATGCCTCCACTCTTTGACCTCATTTTACCAATTATACTTAATGGATTAAATGGTCACTGAGATATAAATAAAGATTGAGTTTCAAGCAAGTTTTGATTGAAGTATATTATTAAGCAGAAAATATGCAATGTACTGGTTCTGGAATACCATTTCAAGAGGCAGGGCAGTCGTTTCTAACTATATGTTAACTTATCTAAAAGACTGCAATTAAAATTATTAAAGGATCATGGTTTAATTTCCATTTGAAATATTTTCCTGAACGGAAAGAAAACTAAAATACATGATTAAGCCACGACTACATAACCCTGAGCACTTCAAAATATTGAGTCTGAACAAATTATATTCCTTATGCCACTTATGACATGTCAAAATATCAGACCCTGATAGAAAACCAACGTCTAGTTTTTCATTTAGATCTTACAAGAAGCAGCTGCTAGATGCCCATGAATTACGCTGGCAACAGACAGCACTCTGTCTGCATCATCTATGCAATCTCCACCTCCAGAGAGGTAATCTACTTTATATGAGATTTCGCATTATTCTTGTTTTTCTTGCTTTCTCTAAGGAGCACCCACTGCTGAAATCATGAGAGTGACCATGTGTTTTTCAGAGGTAGATAATAAAAGTTAGACAGTCGTATTGTACAGAGATTAGGGAAATATATTCTCTATAATATTGGGGGTAGAGGTGAGACTATCTTTTTGAAAACATATAGTAGAGCAAAATGTATAAATTTAGAACCTAGAAATTAGTATCAATTCACAAAGGAGCAATCATGAGATTAATAATTTTCTGGCATATTACTTTTTTACAATTTTATCAAGTTTGGATTCAAACAAATTGAAGATAATTTTACGTTATCGTCTGTATTCTTAAAAGTATTAAGTCGAGAAGACAATTAGTATTCCAAGGAATGGAATTCTTCAAATTAAGTGTTCTGCCCAAATTGGAAACCAGCCAAGCTGCTCTCTAAAAATATCAATTTAAACTACTGTTTTCTAAAAAAGAGTGGAAAGATTTTTGTCTACTGGATTTAGATAATTCTCTTTGGTGTTCTTAACCCACTTTTCAAAACATAAAAATTTGTTAAAAAAAAAAAAACCCATCTCTACTAAAAATACGAAAAATTAGCCGGGTGTTGTGGCGGCTGCCTGTAGTCCCAGCTACTCTGGAGGCTGCGGCAGGAGAATGGTGTGAACCCAGGAGGCAGAGCTTGCGGTGAGCAGAGATCGCGCCACTGCACTCCAGCCTGGGCGACAGAGCGAGACTCCATCTCAAAAAAAAAAAAAAAAAAAAAACAACAACAACAAAAAAAAACCTTTGCTGAGGATGGTTATTTGAAGGTAATTTCCATGTTGCACACTCTTTATTTAAAATTCTAGAGCTGTTTATTGAATACCCTGGAATGGCTATTTCTTGTTTAATTAAGCAACTGCATGTTTTCGCACCTATGTAGAGAGCTATCACACAGCATGAGGAACAGGTATGCAACGCATGGGCTCATTCACTGGGTTCAAATCTTGGGTCTCCCTCTGATGTTCACACAGTTAATATAGCTCGTGACTTTTTTTCTTTATTTTTTAGAAACTGTGTTCTTCCGTCTCATAAAAAAAATGGCATAGCTCTTACCTAGGCTGAATCTTACAATAATGACTTTCCATATGTGCCACACAAAGAGTTTAGCTATTAAACAGCTCTAACTCAGGGGTAGCAATCCCTTCTGTGACTGGGATCATTTTCACTTCATTGTTCTCCACAAAACTGAAGAAGCACATCATCGGATTGTCAGATAATACATTGAGGATTATAGTCTTTCAAGATAATTCACTGTATACTGTTTCAAAGCGTAATTCAATTAAATGCAGTTCAGTTCAAAAAGTGTTTGCAGATGCCTATTTAGTTTAAAATTATACTGCTGGGAAGGAAATGGAAGGCAAAGAAAGAAATGGAAATAACTCACTAATTGATCAACTGAGATATGGACAATGCTATCAACCTCCTGAGCAGCTGAGAAAAAATTGGATGCAAGGCAGAAAACTGCTCACTAAAGATATATCCAAGCAAACTTGCTGTGCTGGAGCAAACGAAGGAGTGGCTAATTCAGATTGTGCCCAATTGGGCAGGCATCAAGAGGAGGAATTTTAGTTGGGGTTTAAATTATTGGGATAATTTCCATAATAGAGAGAGCCTGGGGGTTGATGAAAGGTAGCTGGATGTGGAGTTAACAATAGTTAGAGAGAGCTTAGTAACTGGGCTGATTTCTCTTGGCCCAGAAGCTAATCTGTTGATTTACAAACATTTATATCATTAAATGCCAAAAGGGTTTGAAGAATCGAGCTTAGCTAATTCCACATAGTTTCCAAACATTTATGTAAAGATTAAAAAATGTATTACATAGTTTGGCATTCATTCAAATATATATTTTTTAATCTTTACATAAATGTTTGGAAACTATGTGGAAATCTAGCTAGAAGAAAGACATTTTTTCAAAGGTTATTACATTAATAATATTTTACAGCCAAATAAACTTTTGATAAAATGTACAATGCTTTGTGTACTAGTCCTGTAGACCTGATGCATTTTCCATGAACATATGTTGCCTACTAACAGAGCATGTGCTGGTGCGTTGGCAACAAGTGGAATGAGGTATGGAGTAGCAGAATATCCTGTCGTGACTATCTTACCTGCTAGTTACCTTTTTCATTCGGTGAGCCAACTATGTATGCATGATGTGGGGGCCTGGTGTAAGGTTGTTAGGACACAAGAAGAAATTAGGTTTGTGGATTGAACGAGAACATCGTCCAAAGCCGTGAGACAGAGTTCTCCTTCGATCACGAATATATACAGAAGGCTAACGTGCTTTACAAAGAAAAGAAGAGAGCTGCAACCAGAAAGTCAGGCAACTATGCAACGACCTAAAATTCACTGCATTGCATTGTCAGGATAATTGAGAAATATGCTTTCTGCCCAAATCTTGCCCAACATGCAGCAGGGCATTTATTGCGTGTTTACTGAATGAAAAAGCAACAAAATCAATTAATAATAAATAACTCAGGCACTCCCATGGAGCCCATGGTGGCTCCTGAGGGAATGAACTCCGAACTCAGGCTTCCAAGTAAACAGAACCTCCACTAATCCTACGGTGTTTCTTCACGCCTGATTTATGAAGGTTTGTACGCACAATGAGAGTTGGATTCTACATATGTTACATCAATGGACATTATGTTAACCATGATTTCTTATGATTTCTCATATGTATAAATATATAAATATACATTAAATCTTATGTTGATATTTTCCGCAGGGCTTGAAGATTAGGCCCTATTAAAAATATGTACAGAGACACTTTGACTGAGTTAAGATAAGAAGATAGTCTAAAAAAGAAAATATTTCTTAGCTCTTGTCTTCTTGGAAAAATGTACTATGGATACAACTAAATAATACCTTTCAGGAAATACTGCTTTATAATGTTATCTAAAGTACAAATCCTCCCAACTTTTTATATCTAAAAATGATTTGGATTTCGACAAAGCGATGCAGTGGGTTAATAACAGTTTGGACATACCATGTTAATGAACACTGAAAAGCCCTTAGCTTATTGAAGGCCATAATTTGCAGATGTACACTGTCGAGTCCCAAATGGATGCAAGGTGAAAAGAAACAAAACTTTTAAATGCCAATTAAAACAAGTAGAGTTGACTATCATGGTGATAGAAAATAGACATTTATTTTCAAATGTAGAGACTTGTGAAGAAAATCACATTTGCCTTTACGAAACATAATCCCTTTCTTTTTATTCTGGTACCTGTGCACTATCATTCTCATTAAAACATCATCCTGACCAATCCCGCACATAGCTCACTGGGGCTCTGCCTCCCTCACCGCTGGCTGCTGGTCTACCTGCCTGAGACCAACTTACCCCCACATGGATTAGTATCTCACCATCCTGTCCTGTGTGTTCTGGGGCCTCTCCTCCCTTTCCGCATTCATCAACACAGTCCTCCCTAGGACCTGCGACCTGCTATTACTTTAAGCTTCTTCGTCTTTCGTTATTCTACATTTAGCTACCCACAGTCACCTTTTTATGAAAGCATTCACAGGTACCCAGGCTGGATGAAACACCACTTCTGTGCTCAGGCTTGATTTTGCATTTATTTATCCTTTGTGCAATTATTTGCTTACTTAAGGGGTTGGTGTTCCCAAACACTTATTTACCCGAGGCACTGGAGCACCCAACTGCCCAGGAGTGTCCCTCTCCTGAGTGATGCTACTAGCTAGTTTACAGTGTAGGCACATCTTATTGTAAAAGATGAATTAATAAAACAAATGGAAAGTAAATTTTGCATCCTTCGTACTCGAGGGCGTGGGTCAATCTAGCACAGAGTGTGGAGCATGGTGGGCATTCAATTCACATTTACGTTCAACAGACACATGCGTTGAGTTAGTCTTCTTTTTAATGTCTTCAGCCCCTTGCATAGGACCTTCCACCCAGCAGTTATGTGTTCTCTCATAACTGTAAAAGAAAATTATAAACAGATGTTTTGGAAAACAAAACTAGTGGTGAAAATTAGCAGGACATTGATGGATGACTTTGGGAAGATGCCTTTTATGTTGGAATGAGCTTCCCATGAGTGCTGCTCTGTGGGCTCCTCCTTCATGTCAGCCCCTAACCTCCGAGAGAGCACAGGTAAGAACCCACCACACTCATTCGTATACTCGCCTATGATCGTAACATGAGCCGGTACACAGAGGAAGACAAGTCCATCAAAGCTTCCTGTTCTTTCCATTCAGAAAATCCTTCCATACAGTCTGCCGGGTGTCAGCGACTGTGTTAAACGTCAGGGAAACAAAAATGCATTATTTGCAGTTGATTCTCTTAAAGGCCTTGGTGCTTAGCTCCTTAGCTGAGTTATTTGGGATGAAACTCTGTGGTAATCATTTGTTTGAGCCTCTTCTGTAGAAAATGCTTTGGATTGCACGAGCTCAGAGCTGTTTCTGATTTGTTCTGTTTACCTGGTCTTCTCTGCGTGGAAGGGGTGATACCCGCAAAGTACAGTCAATCACAGATGGGAGGGAAAGGTGTTGGCGTTCCCAAACACTTACCCGAGGCACTGGAGCACCAAACTCCCCAGGAGTGTCCCTCTCCTTAGTGATGCTACTGGCTTGTTTACAGTATAGGCACATCTTATGGGAAGAGAGGAATTAATAAAACAAATGGAAATAGAAGCAGTTATTATTCATATGGGAAGGGGAGGTGGCTGAGACATGACTTCCACTTCTCCCCTTTTTCCTAGCCGAGTCTTCCAGCAATCTTGATAGACGTTATTGATTCCTCACCATTTACCTAAAAGTCAGGTAAATAAATTAACTTGTGACTAAACTGTTATTTCATGTGAAGAAGAGACCAATATACCTGACTGTAAGGTACTACAAAGCCATCTCGGGGAATATCATTTAGAATGTGTGAGGCAAACAGTTAACAGCTTGGGGCTTGCAGATGGACAGATCTGGTTCAAAATCTACTTGCTCTATGACCTTGACCATTTATTTCACCTTTCTTGATTTTAGCTTTGTAAGATGTGGCTAATAACACCACATACCTCATGGCTTTATAGATAAGATGAAATGAAGAGATGCATATAAAACACTGGAAAAGGCAGCCAGAACAAATTGAGTGCCTGAAAGTACACCTGAAGGAATCTTTCTCAGTGTGATTAATAAGCTACTACAATTACCGTTTAAGTAAGTATACTATGGGTTTTATTCAATGAGGGAATTATGCATGAGGAGCAAACAAGTGCAATTTTACTATTCTTGGCATTTTGGGAAAACTTTAGAATAAGGTATTATCTGAAGATCACTTATGAAGATAAATACCTATGTATTAATATAACATTTGAAAAAAATTATGAAATACTTAGAATATTTTCTTTTGAAGTAAAAATACCTATGTCACCAAACAGCAATTTTGCCAATGTTGCAAAATAAGCATTGTAAATTAATGAATATTCTAAGATAATTTCTGATCTAAATTTCATCTGTTGAAAAAGAAACGGGAGGCTTGGAAAGGCTGACGGATTTGTGGAGCTGCACGTCAGTTGCATAGGAGGTGGGAAACGAAGTGAAGTCCAAACCAGGTAAGTCAAGGCACAGCCTGCTGCCCCTCCCTTGCCTTTTACAATGTGAATTGCCACGTTTAGCATTTTCTACTTGGCATTTTAAAAAGCTTATGTTGTTGTTATTATGTTCTCTTAAAGAATATATGCATCCCACCACTAACATCATTTTTTCCTTTAATAAAAATCATGAATCCTCATGATTAATTGGGATTAAAAATAAGAACAATAACAAGTTATTTACTCTCAAAAGCAAAAGCTGGACAGAAACTCTCTCTCCCTCCCTTTTTGCAGAAAGACATTATTCTGTTACTCCGGTTCCTTTCTCCCATTCAGGAAATAAATCACAGAGGACACAAATGCATGAAAAGATACTTCATGCTCATAGATCAAAATACTTAACGTTGTTACAATACCCATAGTACCAGAAGCAACATACAGATTCAATACATATTCCTATATATAAATTTTTATATTCCTATATACTTATAAATTACTGTATATATATATTCCTATATACATATTCATATATGTATTCCTAATTACATATAAAATTTGTAAATATATATGTGTATGGGAATATATATTATATATAATTAGCAACTATATATGTACATAGAAATATATATATAATATGTAATTAAGCTATTATATATATATGTAGTACGTAATTAAGCTTTTATATATTATATATATTTCCTAATTCTTATCAAAATCCCAATAGCATTCTTCACAGAATTTTTTTTTTAATTTCTAAAATGTGTGTGGAACCCTAAAAGACCTCAAATAGCCAAAGCAATTCTGAGAAAAAAATCAAAAGTTGAAGGCATTACACTTCCTGATTTAAAATTATAGTACAAAGTTATAGTAATCAAAACCTATGGCATTGGCATAAGAAAAGGCACATGGACCAGCGGAAGAGAATAGAGAGCTGAAATAAATCCAAGCATATATGGTCAGCTAATTTTCAACAAGAGTACAAAAAGGATACAATGGGGAAAGAATAATCTTGTCAAAAAATGGTGTTAGGAAAACAAGATTTTCTCATGCAAAAGAATGAAATTGGACCCTTTATACCATACATAAAAATCAACTCAAAATGAATAAAAATCCTAAACATAAGACCTGAAACCATGAAAATCCCAGAATACACAGGGGAAATGCTCGTTAACATTGGCCTTGACGATGATTTCCCATATATCACACCAAAAATTCAGGCTACAGAACAAACAATAAATAAATGAGACTACATCACACTAAAAAGCTTCTGCACAGCAAAGGAAATAATCAACAAAATGAAAAGGCAACTTACAGATTCAGAAAGCAATATTTCCAAACCATATATCAGATAAGGAGTTAATATTCAAGATTTGTAAATAACTCATAGCACTCAACATATAACCTCATGTTAAAATTGGTGAAGATATGATTCAGTTTAAACACACATTACACAGAGAAGACTGAGGCCCAGAAATGGAGGCCGCTTTGCCTAAAATTAGCAATTTTCAAGAGGCAGAGCTGGATGAGGAAGTCAGTCTACATTCTGTAATTCCAAGTTTCTAATACCAATGTTCTCTACCATATCTAATTGTATTAAAGTTTCTCCCAGCTGACAATAAATAAGTCGATTAAAAAGAACACCAGGCTTTGGGCCCTCTTCAGGGAAATTGCATTGCTACTGCAGAGAAGCTTGCATTCCATTTTAAAATATCAAATCCAAATCAAAACATTACTTTAAATACACATCCTCCGTGCGAAGCTCAGTCGTGAGAATGCGCAGTTATGCTGCATTACTGATTCATTTAGAAGTTATTAGTTTGCTGCTAGGCATTTTCCACTCTAAGGAACGAAATCCTGAAAAGAAATGGGATGTTGAAATATTGAGTAATTAAATGTTGAAACGTCCGTGAATTCCTGATTAACACCATGATTTCTACGCAGTCAAATTAAAACATACGCAAAGTAAAAACTTCACCCGTGTCCCCTGTGTCCAGCATGTCAGGCTAGCGGAGGGAGAAGTCTATATGAGAGATGATGGCTGTCATTTCACAGCGCAAGTTGTTGACTTTCCACATCCCTGATGTTCCCAAAGTTTGTTTTTATTTCCATCAACGATACCTTTTCTGTTGTGGTTTTAATCCACGAGGGAGTCTGTGCTCAAAGCGGTGGGCATGAAGGGAGCCTCCAGAATCTGCCCCTCGGCTGCTACTCTAGCCCATCCCGGGGATCTCGTGATAATTCCTGCAACAATGATCACAAACATTCTGGCTTCAAACAAGACCCATGTCTCGTTTCACTGCTCTGCAGGTTAAAAGTCCCACGTCGGTCTCACTGGGCTAAAACCAGGTATCGGCAGGCTGTATTTCTTCCTGCAGGCTTGACGGGGAATAGGCTTCCAGGGTCATTTGGGTCCACCGAGAGCAGAAGTCAGTTCCTTGTGGTGGTAGGGATGAAGTCCTGTTTTCTTGCTGGCTGATGTCCACGCATCATTCTCTGCTTCCAGCAGCAGCCTGGGCTCCTCAAATCCTCACACTCCTCTATCCTAAAAGTCAGCAACAGTGAACCAGTCCTTTACACGTCAAATCTCTCCTTCACGTCATCTTTACGCATCTTCTATCCTTGCTTTTTTTCTGACTCCATTCAAAGAAAGTTCTCGGCCTTTGAGGACTTGAGTGGTTAGGTTGGGTCCACCCTGATAATCCAGAATGATCTCCCTATTTTAAGGCCTATAGCTTTAATTATATCATGAGCGTCATCCGGTCATGGAGCAAAACATAATATAACATTCACAGGATCTGGTATTACAGCATGGATATTTTGAGAAAAGTTTTTAGCAGTCACATATGTCTTAAAGTGTATTGAAAAATATCAAAGTGTTTTGAATTAAAATTTTTTCTTAGTATTTTTATCATAAAGAAAAATGTAAAGATGTGGAATCTGAAGGTACAGAAAAGAAGCCATAAAAATGTATCTGTGAAAGGATGTGCATTGAGTTAAGTTTGAGGCTTGAATTCAGATGAAGTGGATTCAGATCCCGGAAGAACCTCTTGGCTAACAGATCAGTCTTCCAGGGCTTAAGGTACTCATCTAATTTCGGATACTAACATTTCCTAAGTTTGATATGTATGTCTGCTTCTGAATCATTCCATGAAATGTGGATTTAATCCTGTTATTAATGATGAATAACGTAAGAAATTGGGTTTCTTACAATACTTCATCCCTGCAACATTGCTGGAATATAACACATGGGACATTTAAAGATACATGGATGAGTATGACTTCTAGCACTGACCAATTAACAAGAAATGCTCATACAGGTTGAATATCTCTTATCTGAAATGTTTGCCACCAGAAGTATTTCAGATTTCAGATTTTTTTCAGATTTGGGAATATTTGCATATATATTACCAGTTGAGTGTCCCTAATTAAAAATAAAGTATCAGAAATCTGAAATGTTCCTGTGAGCATTTCCTTCTGGCCTTTCCTTTGAATGACATGTCACAGCTCAAAAAGTTTCAGACTTTGGGGTATTTCAGATTTTGGAATTATAGATTAGGGATACTCAATCTACACCAAGCTAGCAGTTTGGTGTTTATAAACTTGCAGTTCTGCCTTCTAAGCTCACTGACTGGTGGCTTTTTGTTTCAGGAAAGCAGAAACTGACCAGAAAATCCCAATAGCTCCTTGTTTCTGCAGCAGTTGCTTTACTAACGTATCGCTGTTTGGGGGAGGCCTGTGCACCCCAGAGCAGCACAGAGATTCTTTGTGTTCATGGATAAAGAATACTCTCAGATTGCTTCCTCAACCAGTTTTTATGATTCAGTTGAAAGAAAGTTACTTTTACTTTCACACTGAATCCTCCTTTCTCGTCTATATCAGGATACCAAGGATTCCTCAGGAGTGTTTGTCATCTCCTTTTGGGTTATTGAACGAGCACTGCAATGTGTTTGTGCAGCCTTTATCGTCAGGCTTTGCACGCCACGCTAGTGTATAAGCACCACTCTTATGATGAACATTACCCATTTCCCTTAAATACTGATATAATCATATTAAGGAAGCAATTAATATTATCAATCTACATGCCATGTCATAAATTCCCAATAAAGTTAAAAAAATAAAAATTTAATTGTGTGAATTACTTTTGAAACTCACCAGTGCCCAAACTATTAAATACGCTTTCTAACACAAAAATCCTACTCTTGGCTGGGTGCAGTGGCTCACGCCTGAAATCTCAGCACTTTTTGAGGCAGAGGTGGGTGGATCGCCTCAGGTCAGGAGTTCAAGACCAGCCTGGCCAACATGGTGAAACCCCAACTCTACTAAAAATACAAAATATTAGCTGGGCATGGCGATAGATGCCTGTAATCCCAGCTACTCAGGAGGCTGAGGCAGGAGAGGGTTCACTTGAACCCAGGAGGTGGAGGTGGCAGTGAGCCAATATCGTGCCACTGCCTACCAGCCTGGGTGACAGAGCGAGGCTGTCTCAAAAAATAAAAATAAAATAATCATCTTTTCTTTCCTTTTAAATAGACAGCATTTGCGAATGGGGCAATGTTAAATTAACAGTGCAGTTTGAATCTTACTTTCCTGAGCAAGTTATAGTAATTGAGGGCAGGTCTCTCAAAACTGAAGGAAATCCATGAGTAAGATCAGAGAACCAAAGCATTCTTGAATCCCACCTCCAGTTGGAAACATCCGCATGTAAATGTAAATTAATTATGGTAGTAAGTATACTCCTCTAACAATGCCATTTAGAGTAATATGCTTGATATTTTTTTACATATAGGAAATAAAGTACTTTATAAAAAAGAATATCATCATGTCCAGGCAGACATATAGACATTCTGATAATACAGAATTAATACCAAAAGTAAGTTTGGGAGTTAATCAACTGATGTGGTTTGGATCCATTTCCCCACCCTAACTTCATGTTCAATTGTAACCTCTAATGTTGGAGATGGCAGAAGTATTGGCTCATGGGGGTGGATCCTTCATGAATGGTTTGGTGCCATGCCTTTGTTGCTATTCTCATAACAGACTTCCCAGGAGACCTTGTTGTTTAAAAGCCTGTAGCACCTCCCCGCCAACCCCCACTCGCTCTTTCTCTCTTCCTCCTACTGGAGGCATGTGAAGTGTTGATTCCTTGTTTACCTTCCGCCATGACTGAAAGTTACCTGAGGCCTCCGCAGAAGCCAGGCAGCTTCCAGCATGATGTTCTCTGTACAGCCTGCAAAACCTTGAGCAAATTAAACCCCTTTTGTTTACAAATTACCCAGCCTCAGGTATTTCTTTAAAGCAGTGTGAGAATGGACTAATATATGAACAATAGGAAATCAAGATATACAAGAGCAACAGAAGGAAAAATTTAAAAGGTACTAAAGAGCAACAGAAGGAAATATTTAAAATAATATGTGTAAACAGAATTTTCCCCAGGAAACCATGCAGTAATTCTAATATTCTCAACATCAACTAGAATTTGATTATTTTTTTCTGATTGTAGGACATATCACTAAAATAGGAAAAATAGAGCTTGAGGATGAATCATAGAAAAACTGCAATGATTACATCAGGTCCAGCATAAAGTCTCCAGAGGAATCAAGGTGATATGTAGCAGTGAATAGATGGAAGGAACACTACGAATTTTTATAGAAAAGTGTTATTCAAAGATAGTGTTTAGAGTTTATAAACTTCCATGAAGTATACAATAAAACAGAATCTAAATAAAGTCTGTGCTTATTGACTTCAATTAGAAATTAAGATATTGGAAGGGTATAAAATAAGCAATCATTTTCCTTGTAAGAATTCAGGGGTTCCTATCAGAAGGACCAAGGGTAACAAATATGATTTATTTATGAAAGACAGAATAAAAAAGATATTTTAAGCAACTAATCAATGTTAATTACAAGCAAACTTTAGACAACACTTTTATTTTCAAAAACATCATCTTATGCTGTTTAAGAGGAAAGACTGCTGGACCAAGGCAGCGTCTGTCATGGCCCACGTGGGGATGGGATATCTCCAGAATGTGTCCTGCCATCCAAGAGTCTGCTCACTCGTGTGGATGTGGATGCACTGGGGATGGGTCCTCTTAGGCATTAAAACCAATCAGAAAGTTCCCCTTAATATTGTTAAGAAATATTTCTTCAATGTAATGTACCATAGGACAGAAAAGGCAGAGAGAGGACAAGTTAGGGAGTGGCACGCCGCAGCCATCCTGAATTAGTCAAGGCAGTTGGAGTCCATGACCAACATTAAATGAGACGGAGGGAACAGCAACCTCAGAAATGCCAGCACAAAAATCCAGGACTTGAGGGCAGTTTGACAAATTACAGATGTGATGATTCTAGGAAATGAGTGTTTGGATCTCAGATTTGAAGAAGCAGGCACCGGCCCAGATTGCCAGGACAATCACAGATGATCCAGAACACCAAGGTGAAGAAGAGATGAGGCGACCCACATTAGTTTAGAAGAGAGCCTGTTCCCATGGTCACTCTAGGAAGTATTTTCACAAAGGCCTAAATATAGAGAAACATGGAGTTCATTTCAAGACCCTCCTGAAAATTTAAACTAGCAGCATGTATATAATATTACTTGTTGCTAGTTTTAATATTAATATGAAAATATTGCTACTAAGTTTTGAACAACTGCACAGTGCTACTACTATATCTACTATACGTTAACTCAGGTTATTCTTATGGTGCCTCTAGAGAATTCTTCGGATCCTCATGTTATATTAGGCAGCACTCGGGCTCAGAGAACAAGAAGCAGAGTTGTGGTTAGGAACCAACAGCGTCTCAGGGCCCCATAGGAATGGTGGCACCATATTTCTGTGAAATTCCACTACGGGCTGCATTGTTCTCCACTTCTGCATAAACGTTCGCGTTCAATGATACCTCCAGGTACTATCACATAGAAAATATTTAAATAGGGGGGTTGTGAACTGACATAAGTCAGGATTCTTTACCACAGGGAGACAACCAGAACACTGGCTTGATTCCAATTTTAATTTTGTAGCAAAGTGCCACATACTACACTCAGTTATATTTTAGAAAAAGTTGTGAAAATACAAGGAATATTATATTAGAGCCAGACGATTTAAATTTTAATTCTCTTACTGATTTCTGATTCTGGAGCTTCCATAAATTATTTTACTGTTTTCTGCTTATCTTCATCTTTAAAAGGAGATCATAACACTTCCACAACGTTACTAAGATTAAAGGCACTGGTGTTTGTAAAATTACGAGCTAACAATTATTTGTCAATATCAATTTAGCGTATTCTTGTAAAACAGGTGACTGATTTCTATCTAGTAAAGTTCGGTGTGTTGCATGGTGAACTCCAGCCTGTATCCTACTGAAAACATTTTATTTAGATCAGTCCTTGGTAATAATGCTGCCAGACAATAGATTCACAGTGAGCTCCACATTGAGACGGATAATTAAACACAGTCCATTTCAACTTCCTGTTTTACCTTGTGGTTGTTATTTTACCAAAGACAGCTAAACCATGCTGAGAAGCAGAGCATCCTCTCTGAAGCAGGAGGCAAGGCAGTGCGAGAAACAATTAAGTCTAATTGACTCAGTAGGTGGACGAAACCAGAAAACTGGGACTAGTAAATGAGAGAGTGCCTTTGGTAGATGAGATGTCTGGTTTTGAGCTTGGGGATGATGAAGAGAGAGAGATGTCTCAGGGGGACATCTCAAAAGAACATTCTCCCTTAGGTCACAATTGTTAGGGACAGATGTGTGCCTAGACTCCTATAATAAGATCAGATTTAAGAATAAAACAATCATCCCAGTGTATACCTGAAACATAACACATTTTTTAAAAGCAGTACACAGAGCTGTTGTTCCTTATCAGCTAATCCTACATGTGCAGTAAGAATGTACATACCCTTTGATTGTTTTTAGAGAATTTGCTTTTAAAATACTGTATTAGCTTGGTACAGAAGTGATTGCAGTTTTGCCGTTAAAAACAATGGTGAAACTGCAATTACTTCTGCACCAACCTAATGCATGTGTGTTTCAAAATGTAATACATGCACATGTATCTACACAAAAAGAAGTCAAAGAGTAAACATGACCAGGGAAGCATGTGGTGTTTCAGACTTCACATCTACAAATCTCAACTAACGGCAACTATGCACTTGACTTCTGACACACTGAAATAAATCCTCAAATAAACTACCTATCCCACATCAAAGGGCTACTCCCTATAATACGGTTGTAGTAGGGATGTGTGACAAATACGTTTTACATAGGGTTAAGCTTTTGGTTTCATGATGGCAAATTCTTAAATATATTCCCGTTCTAGATGGTAGTGGAGAGTTAAAATTCAGACACATAAACACACACAGGCATACTGGTGCAATATTTTAAAATTAGGATCAGTATAAACATATAAAATACAGTTTATGTATAAATTAATATAAATATACATTACATATAAAACAAATATGTCATAAAATTTTCCATTCATTAAAATTACTTATGAAAATATTCAGATTTGCAATTATTAATGAATAATCTATATCAGACATCAGCAAACTGTGGCACATGGGCTGGTCATCTAATTTTGCAAATAAAAAGGTCAGAGCTATTTGATGATACCATATGTGGCCTATGATATCCCCATTGTTTTGATGATTTTTCCACAAAACTTGATTTTCTTCTCATTCCTTTCAATTTATTGATTCTAGAGCTCCGGTGGTAATTTGAAGTACCTGGACTTTTTCCAGGAATTGTAATGTATTTTCTGCATGAGATAATGCACAAAAAGCACTTTGCACTGTAAGTGGCACGGTATAAGCATACAGCAAATCATAACTTTATAGATCAATACTTCCCGCTAGGAAGATCAACCTGGAAATTCCGTGAGAGGGAGGTCATGTGCAGGTCCTACTTCTACCACTATTGACCCTCTGACCTTCATGGGAGTGGTCTAGATCTGAGTCAAATACACCTGAGTAGCACTGTCCAATCAGAAATACTTTCCATGGGACTATGCCCATTTTATAGTGTTAATCTTTAGGATTAAAAGCTCTCATAGTGGTTTGTTTAGGAGAACATAACATACACTTCATTAGGGCTGCTTAGAATAGCAGATGAGATGCAATGATCAAAAGTCAGATAGTATTTACTTTCAAGAACTGCTATACAATGTAGTTAGGACAAAAGAATAAATGATTAACATTTACAATATATGGAAGCAACCTGCTTATCCTGTGGGTTTTAAATAGCCATAATGTTAAGAATGTTTAGAAAGAATTGATAGGTGGGTGTTTAACAGTATAGGTATGCAATGACCAGATTGATATATCTTAATCAACATTTCAGGAATTGACAGCTGTACATACAGAATCCTTACGAGAGGCCGTATCCTCATTTTAAAACTGCTTTTATTGTTTAAAATTTTAGAACTCCTCCTTGGGAATTAACTGAAGTCTTCGGTTTAAAATATTTTCCAGTGGTGGCAAACATATGCTAACTGGTCTGATTAATATTGTTATGTTAACGTCTCCCAGCCTCCTGTAGAAATTGACATTACTTCTGAATCCCTTCCATGTATAGGGGTTTTACCAAAATTTTCACAATATATTTATTTTTAAAAAATCAAGGGAAACTAACTCGAACTGGCTCAAAGGATAATTTTTTACAGAAGAGTTCATAATCCCTTTAAAACTTTTATTACTACCAGCAACATTACCCCTGTGAAAGAGAAAACTCACCACAATGTATATTTAATGAAGCTCATTAATTTATTTTTTTCTTATTTCCCTATGCAGAGTCCTAAACCCAATGCAGTTAGAGAAAAGGAACATTAACCAAGGGTTATAAATGTCAAGAACAAAACGGATATCATGTTTAGCTCAAAGGAACACAGGAAGCATTAGCTGTACGCCTCCAGCACTTCTCAAGCTTCTCTGGCAAGCTGGCTTTAGCATTTTTATAAATAGTCTCCATTGCAACATTTCATCACTGAAAAATCCAGACACGAATGTATAAAACCAAAGGAAAGTGTAAATAAGAAATAAATCCTGCTAATTGCGGTTTGCTGATGCCAGAGCCCTTTTGGCAATGACGACCCAGGGGATTCCTGGGCCTGGAAGCCTGCTAAGCAGCATCTTCCACTTCCAAACAGCAGCAGCAACTGCTCCCCAGGCTTGCTGCTTCGGGGCCTTGCTTTTTCTTTTTTCTTTTTTTTTTTCTCCAATAAGAAAATAAATACACCTTACTTTGGCCAAATGATTGTTAAATAAATTCTTGGCTTTTCAGCAAACATTCTTTTCTCTTCTCTTTCACAAACAATGGAAGCAACAAGCCATTCAATTCTGAGACCCTCATGGGGCACGTACTTCAGGATGTCTGTTGAATATGATACACCCGCGTTTTGTATTTTAGCAACATTTACTACAGTCACAGACTTGTGCCATAATTGGCCAGACCTTCAGCATCTTTGACAACCTAGTGCGCCTATGATAGGGGATTATGTGTAAAAATGCAAACAAACAAAACCTTTATTTATGACTGCCCTGAAGGTGTGCAGATTGGCATGCTTTCTGAGCCCAGGCTTTGTCTCTGTATACTGCGCTATATAATGGGGCTTTGGCTCTACTGCATAATCTAGAACTAATTAGGACATTAAGCAGGTGTGATTTAAAAATCAGTGGAACTCAAGGCAGTTCATTCTGATTGATCAGTCGATCTGTCTGTCTGTCTGTCTGTCTACCTACCTACCTACCTATCATCTCTCTCTGGCTCCTTTATATAGCCCTTTTAACCTTTTATCTGAAGAAAAGAGAAACGAACCTGCCTTGATGTTTTGTGCCCAAGGTCCTATTGTAATTATTATTATTTATATTTATTTTTTTCCATAAGTTATTGGGGTACAGGTGGTATTTGGTTACATGAACAAGTTATTTAGTAGTGATTTGTGAGATCCTGGTGCACCCATCACCCGAGTGGTATACACTGCACCATGTATGTTGTCTTTTATTTCTGACCCCCTTCCCACTCTTCTCTACCAAGTCCCCAAAATCCATTGTATCATTTTTATGCCTTTGTGTCCTCATAGCTTAGCTCCCCCGTCTCAGTGAGAACATACAATGTTTGGTTTTCCGTTCCTCAGTTACTCCACTTAAAACAATAATCTCCAATCTCATCCAGTTCACTGAAAACGCTGTTCATTCATTCCTTATTGTAATTATTTTTTAAAAGCATAAGTCTTTATAAGGCTCAAGCAATGACCTGTTTTTGTCACTATCTCTCAATCAAAGGTCAGTGTCTTACCTTAAATAGGGTAATTACCACCTGCAAATAGCTTTTCCTGCTTCTGAACCTCATTTTCCTTTCTGTGTCCCGCCGTCTTGTTAAGATACACTCTCATCTTCTGGTGGTGTCTTTTCTTTCGAGTGCAGGTGTCACCTGCAATCCCACATAGTGGCTGTGCTTTGTGCCCAACCTAGCAAATACATCTCCGCAAGAAAGGAAAGAAGCCTGAAGGGCATTATGTGGTGAGGCACAATGGCTAAGCATGATGAGGGAATGCCCTCCTGCAGTGGATCAGCATCATGAAAACAAAAACTCTCCCACACAAAACACACGGGGTCACACTTGGTTTACAACCACGCATGAAACAAGAGATCCCTTTCTAGATCACTCTCTTCTCTATAGTCATTTATCTTACCCCCATCCAAGAATGCTTACTGTCAGATTTATAAATAACTGACCGTCATCTTATCTGATGTTTAGCATGGAGGCAACATAATCTCAGACACCAGCCTTTTAGAAAGAGATCACATACAAGAGATAATTAAAAATCATAAGGCCAATAGGATAATAAAAGTTTCACTTTTGTGGGTCAATTAGATCTTATTTCAAATCTAGTCTTTTGTCTATTGTTGTACTTTCTGATCCTGTACTTAATCAAATGTCCTCAATGTATTCAACTGTAAAATGGTATCGGTCATGAAGAAGTCAGGTGATGGAGTATATATGCACATTTCTGGGAACACTAGAAATGCTTACTATATGGTAACCATTCTTAATCACAGCAATTAATATGTGAGGAATAATGATCATGCAGCTTCTCACCTAGGCCAGTAAAACATCATTCACGATGACGGTTCCATATTTTAGTTTACATATCGAGAGGGTCAGGAACATGGAGTGACTTATACCACATACCCAGCTAGTAAATAAAAATCAAGACTTACAAAAAGCTCTTTGTAAAAAATATACAAATGACAATAAAATAAACTCTGACTTCATTTCTCCAGAGTTTCCACTCTTGCCTCTATTTATGCACCTTTCTCAGTCCAAAATTATAGCCCACTAAACACCAATTATTTCAAATTACAGTAGCACAAGCAGCTAGGCTATGCCTTTTAAAAAGACATTACAGTAGGGAGGAGGAAGGGGAGAGAGGTTGCTCAATGGGTACAAAGTTACAGTTAGGAAGAAAGAGTTCTGCTGTTCTATTGCACAGTAGAGTGACTCTGCTTAATAATGTATATCTCAAAATAGCTAGAAAAGAGGGTTTTCAATATCCTTACCAAAAGTAAAAGATAAACCTTTGAGATGATGAATATGCTAGTTACCTTGATTTGATCATAACACAATGTATCTAAGCATTAAAACTACTGATTATACCCCATAAATATGTACAATTATTATGTAGGTCAATTAAAAAATAAAACTTTATAAAAGACACCACAGTTTTATTTTCATTACATATAGAATTTGAACACTTTAGATTTAAAGAAATCTTATTTAAGGACCAGAATTGTAGATTTTGGTCTATCCATAGCAAAACCATAAATATGCTCTAAGACATTTTAGTTTTGTGCCACTGAGCTTAGAAACACCTACATTTCACATTCTTTGTAGGTACTGAAAATAAACTCTGCATGTACAGCTATTTTTTACTGTATATTTTTGTACAATATAGCTCTACTGTGACTCATACTTCTGCAGATGAGTATTTTATCTTTGTCGCTTTAATTTGAATCCAAAAAAATGAAAATACATGAATTTTGGCTATATTATTTTCTAGTTAGTAATAGTTTCCAAGATTCCTGATTATATCTATTTTCACATGGTCCACCAATTTAAATTTAGAAAGCACAACTCAAGCTATTTTTTTCAATAAATGCTAAAAGCTTTATGATGTACATGTTTTTTGGAGGCAGAAAAGTGCCATATTTGGATTCTTATAAAACAATGTTTTTAAAGACACTCAAAAAAAAAAAAAGACGACTTCAGATTAGAAAGAATTGGGTCAAATGTGAGATCCAGATGGTCATGTCTGGAAATGGTAGCATTAACTCTATAAACACTGACCTCTTTCATAAACTTCAATAAATGATTGTAAAATCAATTCAGTCCACAGATATTCAATCACAGAGTTAACATGTCATATGTAATCAGCAAATTCATCTCTCCAACCCACCTGAAATTTTGTAGATAGTTGAAATACACTTAACATTAGGCATTAAATAAGAATTGTATTTCGTGAAACATATCATGATGTCCACTGTCAGAACAGGAAATCAAGATGGTGAATAATACACTCAAAACCACACAAGGTAAAACTGTCCTCCAGCCAGAGTGCCCCAAGACCCGCAGCGCCACAGCCTCCTAATCAGAGGCTGGGAGAGAGCTGTACAGTGGCTGTTCCAGCTGAAACTACATTCTGACTCCTCACTCTCAATTCAGTGCTTTGGCTTTGGTAATCTGCTGCCCTGGTCAGAACAATGTATCCAAGATTAAACCGGAAGTATTGTCATTAAATAAAGAAAAACATTAAAACGTTTATGCAAATTACATGGCTTTCCCTGGTTCTAAGGAAAACCTAGCTGTGAGTTGTTCAAATGTGTGGGTTAGCAGTTTCTCATTGCAGTGCCTCTTTTCACTTGGCCTCCTGCTCCAGGGAGCTCTTGTCATGAACAGGCTGAAGCCAGCCCGAAGCCTGTACTCAGAAGGGTGTCAATTATTCATCCTCCAAACTTGAGTGGAAACTGCAAGCATATCCTCTTTCTAGTAGGTCATCCAGCTGGTGATGCCTCATTTGTAACTGTGGAGGCTTTGACACAAGGCATCAACCAGCCTAAGGAAAACATTCTTATATTGGTGATATCACTCCTCTAAAGCAAATACTTTATGTCGGCTTTTGTGACATATTTCCACACACTGAATTTGACCGTGAATAAAAGTTGGCTCAATATAGAGTTAAAAGAGCTTAAAAGTTCCCACAGATTGGATGAGGTGCATGGCTACAATTAATCAGTACGATTAGTGAAAATTATGGATAAAAAAAGTGTATTTGATAATTTGTAAACTTTAACATATTTTTGAGGGATTGTCATAGGATTTGGTTCTCTATGTCTTGACATTTATTAGAAGATAGCCAAGGGTACACAGAATAAGTCAGTTGCCTGATTCATATTTATGTACTCAAGTAAAAGTTTGTTCTTACAAAATGAATATTTTATTTGACTTGTTTGAACATTGCGGCCTATTGTAATTGGAAAAGTCAAGCCCAAGTAAACAGGCTTTACCTTCCTCTAGTTCTATAACTAAAGATTTGGCTCCCAACTCAAATAGAAAAGCGTGTAGCATTCTGTCTAGGAAAATTCCCCCTGCAGGGTCATTTAATGAACTGTGCTACCTTGTAACACAAGCAATTACAAAGGGAAGAACAAACTCATATGGATTTTTTAAAATTTTGAACCCGTGATTAAAATAACACTTGCATTGAAATTTTAACTGCTGTTTTACATAGACCAAATATCTTCACTGGATGAGAGGAGACAGACCCTTTAGTGTTTTAAGATTTAGTTTTTTCTACCTGACACAATTTGTTTCCTTTATAATTATTTCACTTACTGTTAAATTTCTTTTTTCACCGATGGTTTTAAATATCCATTATGCCTCCATTAAAAGAAGGGCAAATATTTTTGAAAATTCAGAAGGACCTAGTGGAAGAGAATGTAGATAATGTATTGGAATGTTAATAAGAGATTTAAATGAAGTCATATCTGCAAAGATCTTAAACACAATTCTCTCTTCATATAACATGAAAAGAAGAATCTCAGCAAAGCATTGTGGGTTGGCAGGAAGACTAGAAGGATATGATTCCATTAAAACTAAATTTGCTGAGGTCTATTCCAGCCCTTGAGCGAATCTCATACTGACAGCATTGAAAGTTTATGTTTGTAAAGATGACTAAATTAGGCTCATAAGTGGTAAAAAAATGCAATACTAAAATGGAAGTCCTCAAGTTTTAACTGATATCAGAAATTCTGAAATCAGTTCTGGGCACTGAATTATTAGAAGTGGATATTTATATAACTATCAGGCAAGAAGGAATCTCTCTGGGTCATGAGTGCCTTCTTTCTTCTTTCAGGAGAATTTTTAAACCATGTGGAAAAGATAGCATGTTTCCATAGCTTTGCTGAATATGACTCCTAGCCTGATCTATTCTGCTGCTCCTAGAAGATTGTACCAGCTCATGCCTGTTAGTCTAGAGCAGTCATGAGGAGGTGAACATTGGCAAAGGTGATTTTCATAATGGGGCACATTGGGCAAGTTACTGGGGTGCAAAGCATTGGTGGAAGACTTTGCTCTTAGGCTGATGGTGTGGAGGTGGTCTCAGAGCTGGTATGGAAGAGGTACCTCAGTTCAGAATCTCTTAGGTACCAAAATGCCCCCACAGTGGGTTAGATCACCATTAGCTCATGCAGCCCTTTGCTAAGCTTTGGACCTCAAGACCAGCAGAGACTTAGAAAGCTGATTACCCTAGACAGCACCAGAGAGCTTGGTTTCCTGAAATGCTGTGATTCACATCCATCTCCATAGTCCTGAGCCACTTGGAAGTCATCTGACTTCAGGGGGCTCTGAGAACCTCAGCTCACACACAGACTCAGAGTCCCAGACTTTGCTTTTAGAGAAAAATACAAACTGACAAAATGAAGAAAGGAGAAAGGAAGGGAGGATCACCCTTTATAATAGAGCACATCTTACTCTCAGTGCATCATACAAATAATAGTACTTTTATTCTCCCGGGAACCTTATAAGATATAAGTGTTGCCCAGACTCGTTAAATGGTGAAACTGTCACTTGGAAATGATTAAAGATGTTCTTCATGATCCTAAGACACAACGGGGCCTGGATTTTAACCCAAACAGTGACAGCACCAAAGACTGAACCCTCCTCAGTCATGCCCCTGAATTAAAGTTTTCAACAATTATAGGAAAGACATCCTGCATGGTAGCCAGGTTAGTGCAGCTTACCCAGCAGTGGCTGGAGCTTCCTAAGAAATAGAATAGCCAACATTTGTACATAAATTATAAAAATACGAATAAAATGGCTACTGTGCAGATGTGTAAGACCAAAAAAAATAAATATCCTGTTTGCTTCTAAAAATGGATTTTAACAGCCACTTATGAGCCCTGACAACCCACCTGCTCTACCATCTTGGCTCTTAAGCAAGAATCTTATTTCACCAATTCAATTCACTAACGGGTTAAAAAATATCCATTTAGGACTATTTTTTCTTTCTTCTTTCTTTGTTCTAGAAGTAAACACTCCTACAACCAGGTTTATTTTAAAAATGTGAATTTGGGTATAATATTTTACAGCAGTTGAGATTAAAATGGCAGGTGCAGAACATGCATCGGTCAAGTAAATGAATAAATAATCACTTCTAATGTGGCATCTCCAGCATTCATCATGTATCTTGCTGATTCTCTGTTGAACACCACAGATATCTCATTTTATTTTATTGGCAATGAGATGTAAATTGGTGGTTGGTAGTTTTCTGCTTTTAGACAAGATGCTTATATTTAGAGAGCATTTAAAATACAGCAGTGTGGCATTTGAGGCATCAACATTCGTAAGATGATGCTTGAATCTCTCTCTGATCTGAGCCTGAATCCAATCTAGAATACGTTCTTTTACAAAATTCTGTTCTATCTGGTTTTCTTCAACATGCAAGAACAATTTGTGAAAGTAGTCCATTATCTTTATTTTTTTTTCTTAACACATGTTTCTTTTGCCTCAAACTTCAAGCATGCATACATAGATTTGTCAATTAATCCTAAAAGACT
Source organism: Homo sapiens (assembly GCF_000001405.40). Taxonomy (NCBI): domain Eukaryota; kingdom Metazoa; phylum Chordata; class Mammalia; order Primates; family Hominidae; genus Homo; species Homo sapiens. Next base: position 4,786,820 of record NC_000008.11, read on the forward strand.
GAGGTCTACACAATTCAGACTATGAATGATACTTCCAAGAAAATAGTAATTATTTAAGTGAAATGCTAAGAAATAAGATAAAAGTAGTTTAGCTAGTACTTCATTTAAAAGGCACTTTTTAAATCTTAATGTTTTTAAGGCAATATTGTTGGTATACTAACTGAAGACTGGAGAGACCCCGTGTGTGTGGCAATGTGGAAGGAAGCAGATAGAGCAGTCACCACTTCTAATTACTGGTAATTTCTAATATTAGATCTAATTACTGATAGCAGGGTGATACTCGGCCTCCGCTGGCTCAACTTTTAGAGGGAAACTATCCGCCTATACCCCTCCGGGTTCGGCCGCTGTAGCGGAGCTCGGAAAGAGTGGCGCAGGGTCGCGGGGCCCCGCCAGGGGGCGCGCCTGGGGGCCGCGCCTCCTTCCCCGCCCAGAGATGCTCTCTGATCACCCCTCTTTTCTAGAGCTCTGCCTCACTTACCGGCGCGGTCGCAGCCCTCAGCCCACTCAGGATAATGGCGACAGCTGAGGTACTGAACACTGGTAAAAAATTGTATGAGGGTAAAACAAAAGAAGTCTACGAAAAGTCCTCCTGCAGTCCAAGGACAAGATTACAGCAGGAAATGTAGCTAGAAAGAATCACCTGGAAGGAAAAGCTGCAATCTCAAAGAAAATCACCAGTTGTATTTTTCAGTTATTATAGGAAGCAGGTATTAAAACTGCCTTCACCAGAAAATGTGGGGAGACAGCTTTCATTGCACCCCAGTGCGAAATGATTCCAATTGAATGGGTTTGCAGAAGAATAGCAACTGGTTCTTTTCTCAAAAGAAATCCTGGTGTCAAGGAAGGATATAAGTTTACCCACCTAAAGTGGAGTTGTTTTTCAAGGATGCTGCCAATAATGACCCACAGTGGTCTGAGGAACAGCTGATTGCTGCAAAATTTTGCTTCGCTGGACTTGTTACAGGCCAGACTGAATTGGATATCATGAGTCATGCTACACAGGCTATATTTGAAATGCTGGAGAAATCCTGGTTGCCCCAGAATTGTACACTGGTTGATATGAAGATTGAATTTGGTGTTGATGTAACCACAAAGAAATTGTTCTTGCTGATGTAATTGACAATGATTCCTGGAGACTCTGGCCATCAGGAGATCGAAGCCAACAGAAAGACAAACAGTGTTATCGGGATCTCAAAGAAGTAACTCCTGAAGGGCTCCAAATGGTAAAGAAAAACTTTGAGTGGGTTGCAGAGAAAGTAGAGTTGCTTTTGAAATCAGAAAGTCAGTGCAGGGTTGTAGTGTTGATGGGCTCTACTTCTGATCTTGGTCACTGTGAAAAAATCAAGAAGGCCTGTGGAAATTTTGGCATTCCATGTGAACTTTGAGTAACATCTGCGCATAAAGGACCAGATGAAACTCTGAGGGTTAAAGCTGAGTATGAAAGGGATGGCATTCCTACTGTATTTGTGGCAGTGGCAGGCAGAAGTAATGGTTTGGGACCAGTGATGTCTGGGAACACTGCATATCCAGTTATCACCTGTCCTCCCCTCACACCAGACTGGGGAGCTCAGGATGTGTGGTCTTCTCTTTGACTACCCAGGGTCTTGGCTGTTCAACCACACTTTCTCCAGAAGGATCAGCTCAATTTACTGCTCAGATATTTGGGGTAGACAACCATTTAGTATGGAGCAAACTGTGAGCAAGCATTTTGAACACATGTATTTCCTTGAAGCAGGCTGACAAGAAAATCAGAGAATGTAATTTATAAGAAACAATGCCATTGAAATTTTTAGGGGAAAAACTACAAATTTCTAATTTAGCTGAAGGAAAATCAAGCAATATGAAAAGGTAATTATAAATTAGAGAACACAAATAAAATGTATTAGTGAATCAATGCTTCTCTAGATCCATACTAATAAACATGAAAACCTAAAAAAAATAAAAAAAAATAAAGGGAAACTATCATGCTTAACTTAACATGACATCTGCTTTTGAAACATTTTATACATTTTAAATTTATGACACAGAAACTCTCCCTGCTCCTTCCTGACTCCAGGGCAGGCACATGCCCAGTGTTTTCAGGTGTTGGAGGTTGGCAGCATATGAGAAGGACAGACTGTAGATGCAGAGTTCTGACATGAACTGAGATCAGACAGCACTTAAATTCATGGTTAGGACTCTCAGCCTTGAAATCAGACTACCAGGGTCTCACTCCTTGTTCCACAGTTTATTTATTCAACTTCTTGGGACCTCAGAATCACCATCCAGAAAAGGTAATCATGAGAAAGCTACCTCTTGGGATTCTTGTAAGAGTTCACTGAAAATGAAATACAATGTTGTATGTTCAGATGAATGCTTTGTGCTTAGAAAATATTCAATAAATATTATTTGTAGTTAATATAAAGAAGCTATCCTGCCACTGTTTCTCATCTATGAAGATGATCTGAATTATAATCCCCGGTTTCTAATACCAAACATGCACAACACCATCTGTGGTTTAAAAGCAGTCAACTATAGACAATAAAGTATGAATTTCAGCTCTGTGTCTTTGTAGCTCTCTGGCTCTGGGTGATTTTTACCTACACTCTCGTATCTAATATTGATAGTACTGTGTATCCCCAGAGTTTACAAAATAACGCATTTAAACGCCTGGCACCTGGTTTACATTGGATAAATGCTAAAGCCACCTCACCTATATAATTTTACTGTGCATCTACCTGGGATCTACCACCAAAGCTTTTGTTCACAATCTGGCACCCTAGGTTTGGGAATAAACTGTTTTTCTCACTCCAGTGTGGGGAAGTTTGTGTTGCATTTTTGAATGCTGGCATACTAGCTGTATGTCAGAATTTAGCATGTTCCAGAATGTACTTATTTATGATCCTGTATAAGATAAAGGTTGATTGTATAGCAATGCTCCCAACATAGTTCATGTAGTAAATTTTTTAAGTTATCACTGTGTAATTTAGGGAAGAGATGCCATTTTGGTTCTTGCTATTTTGTTTATGGAAAATAAGTCTAACTTTCTTAATCTCTTTTAGTACTCTTTTATTTTACAGACTTGCCTAAGTAATAGAATTTAGTAGTAGCCATCAGATCTGTTCTGCCAGAGAAAAATGTACCCGAAAAACGTATCTTAAAGGTGCTATTTCTCTCTTCCCTTCATGTGCAACTCAATGGAGGCCAAGTTATAGTGATGAAAAGGAATCCAGGATTATGTGTGAATCTTCAGAGAATTCTAGGAGGAAAACATTCGATGAGTTTTGTGGGAAAATACTAAGCTCCATCACTTGTGATATCCAATATTCAGTTCCTTTGGACAAACAAGACAAATACATACAGTTCAACATAATAAGAATATTGTATCACATCCAAGCTGAGAGCCAAATCTGAGAGCACAACACATTCAAAATAGCCATAAAAAGAATAAAATAACTAGGAATACAGCTAACCAGGAAGGTGAAATACCTCTACCACGAGAATTACAAAACAGAAAGAAATCAGAGATGACACAAACTAATGGAAAAACATTCCATGCTCATGGACAGGAAGAATCAATATTGTTAAAATAAATAGCCATACTTCCCAGAGCAATTTACAGATTCAAAACTATTCCTTTCAAACTACCAATAACATTTTCCACAGAATGAGAAAAAAACTCTTCTAAAATTTATTTGGAACCAAAAAAGAGACCGAAAAGCTAAGGCAATCCTAAGCAAGAATAACAAAGCTGGAAGCATCACACAGCCCGACTTTAAGCTATACAACCAAGCTACAGTAACTAAAACAGCACGGTACTGGTACAAAAGCAGACACATAGACCAATGCAACAGGTTACAGAACCCAGAAATAAAGCCACATTTCTATAACCATCTGATATTTTACAAAGCCAGCAAAAAGAAGCAACCAGGAAAGGACTCCCCTATTCAATAAATGGTGCTAAGATAAATGGCTAGCCATATGCAGAAGACCAAAACTAAATTCCTACCTTTCACCATATAAGAAAATCAACACAACATGAATTAAAGACTTAAACGGAAAACCTAAACTATAAAAACCCTAGAAGGAAACATAGGAAATACCATTTTGGACCTAGGCCCTGGCAAAGACTTAACGGCAAAGACTCCAAAAGCAACTAAGACAAAAGTAAAAATTGACAAGTGGGACCTAATTAGACTAAAAAGTTCTGCACTGCAAAATAAACTATCAGGAGAGTAAATGGGAAACACAAGCTAGTAGGGAGAGAGACGGTGAGAGAGACGGTGAGAGAGACGGTGAGAAGAGACGGGGAGAAGAGACGGGGAGGGAGAAACTTTTAAGTGAGACAAGAAACAAACACATGGAGATAAGCCAAGAAAACAGACCACTGGTCTTGAGAGGAGAGGTGCGTGGAAGAAGCAGAGGCAGAAGGAACGTGCCTGGGGTTGCAGGGGCTTTGCCTGTCATGGACACAGACCTTCACGAAGGTGGGCCTCTTTCCATACCAGGCTTTCTTACTACTTCTTGGTGTGGACTTGTTTTTACTCCTTTCTTTGACAATGTTTTCCAATTTTCTTTCCAATTCAGCCCTTTGACTCCCTGAAAGTTTATGTGTTGTGGGTGGGACCCCATCCCTTGGTCTATAAGGTTTGTGATCTTGAAAAGTGAACCTAATTTTCTCACCACAGCGCTCAAGGAGTAACAAACAATCCAATCCCCTAAAGTTGTATAAGAGCCACTGGAAAAATGTTTTGTCTCTTTTTGGCTAGAAACTAACGTGAGGAAATCTGAAGCAGGACCTTAAGCAGCAATGTTACCAACGTAAGGGTTGAGCTCACTTAAAAATGGGCCCAACACAGAAGGCTAGTTAAGACATGGAGAGAGAGGCCAGGATCTGGTACCATTGTGCAAGCCAATAGTTCAAGTATTTTCTGACGAAGAAGTTCAATTTCCTTCATTAGCATCGTGTGCTAAACATTTCACTTTGAGATTCCTCCAGTTTGGGTGGCATTCTCTGACACTGACCTACAAAATTCCAACAGATATACTTTTTTTCAAAAAAAAATTTTTTTAGCTTGCATTCAGCAACAATTGGTTCATCTTATTCGAAAAGGTAGATTAATTTAGTTTCTTTATGTTAGTTTTCCTTTTTTTTTAAATACAAGATTGTTTATCCAAGTGTCCTTTATAGTGTGTGTCTCAAAGGTTAATCCTAAATCCTATCTCACTAGAAAAGTGGTGACATTCTTACCCAAGATTCACTGCCTGGTTTTAACTTTAATTCTTTCTATATGGAGATCCCTTCCTCCGTATTTTCTAACAGAATCTCTCTCCTTATTTTATTCTTTCCTTCCTCCTTCCTATCTTTCTTTCCCATAGGTATTTATGAAATAAACACAATTAGCCAGACACAAAAGTAGAGATTAAATGTATAGAACTGAAAAATAACAGTGATAAAACAAGCAAACACATCCTAACTACACCCCTATAAAGGTGCATGGTCCCTAAGAGTTCTAAAATTCTTAAAGTAGTCCAGTAGCAAGAAGGAATTTGCTTTAAAAAATAAAACTCTAGTTTCAATTCCAGAGACATTTCGTCTTTTCATCTCTACTCAATATTCAGCAGTGGTACAGCCAATCAGTCTATCTTTGAACTCATCAGCTGTTCTGAATATTCTTCATTTTCTATTCCCGTTCCCTGGGCAGTTGTGGTTGCTGTCTGTGCTTTGGGTGATCACGCACCCATTCAGCCATACACCACACTCAACAGTTGTCAGCACGTCCATGCAAGAAACTGTTGAATAGAGTCTCTTATGGCCCTCTTTTAGACTACTGTTTTCTAATCTTTTGTAATTATATGGGACACTCAATTTATAATCAATGGGTCCAGAACCAAAAGGAACAATTCTAGGAAGAGCTGCCAAGAAGCTGCATTCAATTACACCGATGCCCATTACTACGGGGTGTTTTGTCACTCAGTACCATGCGTTCCAGGCGTACTTGTAATATTTAAAGTGACCAAGTGTTTCCAAAGCTCAATTTTAACAGGTCTCTCCAGCAAACCTTTCCACCTACTGGTTTTGTGCTCTCTGCCAGCACATTTGAGTTCATATAGAGTTCAGTATGATTAAAAAGGGATGCAAATTATATATGTATATGGAATATATGTGTATATATGTGTATGCAATATATATATATATATATATATATCTCCACACACATACATAAGCCATTAAGCCATTGCATAATTTGACATTCAAACATCCAAGTGGAAAATATAATATAGCACTGTCATATACAATTTTTTCTTTTGTCTTAGAAATATAGCATAACAGGTCAGCAGGTACCAAATTCTTTAACCTTCAATGTCCTTGATCATGGAGTAATTATGAGTAAATAAAAATTAATTGCAGCACAAGACATGATCATGAGTTAGTTTTCCTTCATATTTACAAGACCTAATCTATGTATTTGTTTTAGGCTGGAAAAATAGAACCTATTCTCTCAAATGATAACACAGAAGAGGCATTTTTATTATAGTACTATAACTACTACACTGATATCATTTTGAAACATAGAATAAATTTTGTTTCAAAATATGGTAAAAATTTCACCTTTTCCCTCCTCCCCCAGCTCTTTATCACTTTCTCCTCCAGCTCCATCCCCTCTCTCCTCCCCACCATCTCCCACGCCATCTCCCTGGTTCCCAGACACCTACACCAGGGCACAGTCATAGCTGTTCTGCTTGCAGAAATTATTTCTATCATTTACTGATACAAACTTTTTAGTTTGAGGCATTGCTCACTATCATACTGTTTCAAAAAAAAATACAGCACTAATTATTGCTGTCAATAGCAATGTTGACGCCTCTGCTCAGGAGAAGAAAGTGTACATGGAGAGGTTGGAGGCCAAATCTTCTTTTACAGGGGAAATGACATTCATTGGGATGTGGACATTCGTTTTACCATCTTGAAAGAAATCTTTCTATGACAAATCATGGTCAGTGATCTAGAAAGCAGGCCACAACCCCAGAATAGGAAAAAAAAAAAAAAAAAACTCCTCTGATTAAAAGTTTGTTAATAAGAATGATCAGGTAGCATGTCTGATGAATAAAAATGTGATGTAAGTTGAGGTTTGTGTGAAAATGAACTGGCACTTCTGTTAGGAATAGTTAACTACAAAGGCTTACAGGAGTATTTGCATACATTTTAAAAGCAGTTTCTTATAAAACTATCTTAGTGCTCTTGAAATAATTTGCCTTAAGGTTGGATTTATATTTTTCTCAAAACTTCTGGAGATAAGTCAGATAAGTACTGTTCCCTCATATAATGCTTTATTCTCTAATAGACAGTCAAACTCAATATTGTTCTCTTCAATTGTTAAATATATTATTTTACATTTTAACAGGTCACTTGGATCATTTTTATCACACTTTTTGTCAGTAATATTTTGAAAAATCCCACATTGTATATAAAAGGCCTACCATTTTGATATTCTTGCAATTTTTGTTAAAAGAAGGTCTCTGCATTTCCTTAGAAATGAGTGACTATTTCTCATATAGGAGGGATTTCTTTTCTAACATCCCCATTAGAAAATCAAGACACTATTACATTTAATTATCTTATTTATGACAGCATTTAAAACAAAATGGTTCCTCATTGCTCTTAAAATCCAGTACAAAATGGGCAGCAAGTCACTGTGTTCTGTCCCCTGCTCTCCTCTCCATCTCTGCCTGACTCTCCCTCCCCCACGTCCACCTATGTGCTGAGAGATTCTTCCCCTTCTCTCACCCCTCACACGCCTCTGGGCTGCAAGGCTGATGTGCTCCATAGTCAGGAACCTCCCCATTGTCCCCATACCTTCTTTCTTCTGCTGACTGCTATTGGCCCATCTCTCTTAAGGCCATGTGGCAGAGTATTTTCTCAGGAAAAAAGCTCTGAACAGATTATTGAGCCATTTGAATTCCATGCCCAAATTCGGGGACTCTGAAGTAGTTTGAATAGAAGCACTCAATGGTCCAAGTTACAATTTAGGAAAACTGACCTCCAAGACAAGAACTGGAGTCAGGTGATGATGACTGCAGATTGCAGGTGGCAAGAAATTAAATCAGGAGTTGGTCATTTAGAACGCTGGGAAGGGAGTCCTACTATTGTTTCCATGGTGGAGTAAAGCCAGAGAAGAGAAAGAATGGTGCCTTAGGAAGTTGGGTAGAAAGGTCAAAGAAAGATGTGGGGGGTGGGTGGGTGTGTGTTTAAGTTTCTGCTGTCTTTAATATATGGAAGGTAATAGTGAAGAATCAGGTGGAATAGATACAGCAAAAAATAACAACAGTAGACAGAAACTGGTAAAGACGTCTAAGAATGTAGTAGCCACATTTTTAGGTGAAAAGACGCTTAACCAGCTCACATATTGAGGTGCAATCAGAACACATTTCTAGGTCTGCTGGTGTCATAGCTTTTTTTTTTTTTTTTTTTTTTTTTTTTTTTTTTTTTGAGATGGAGTCCTGCTCTGTCGCCTAGGCTGGAGTGCAGTGACACGATCTTGGCTCACTGCAAGCTCCGCCTCCCAGGTTCAAGCAATTCTCCTGCCTCAGCCTTCCGAGTAGCTGGGATTACAGGTACCCAGCACCACGCCAGGCTAACTTTTGTATTTTTAGTAGAGATGGGGTTTCACCGTGTTAGCCAGGATGGTCTCGATATCCTGACCTGCCCACCTCGGCCTTCCAAAGTTCTGGTATTGCAGGCATGAGCCACCGCACCCGGCCAGCTTTCTTAAGCTTTTTTTCAAATTTTCTGTTTTTTCTTCTTTAACCATAACAACACACACTTGTTCCTCAGAAAGGAATTTCTAGGATAAATGAGTACAATATGGAAAATAATTATCTTCTGTGAACTGGGATCCGCAGATCCAGGCGGAGAGGCATCCTGACAGGTCCTCCAGGGCTCTTGTCAGTTACCTCCGTACCTGTGCACGCCTTCAGGTACTCTGAGTGCAATTCATAAATCACACTAAGTACTGTACTGAGGCAGCCCTTCTTCAAATTAAACACAAATGAGCTATAAATGGAACCATGAGGTGTTGTTCTCATGTTAAGGTAGACTGAAAATATTGCCACTAAGGGAAATACTCAAGGCTTTTTAAGCCATCACTACTTGATATTATGTTATTTCTTTTAAGCCTCTCTGATATGTCATAAAGCAAAGAAACAAATACAGCTAAGGGCAAGGCTTCAGGTATTTAAAATGTAACACTCACCAGGAGAGCCACTGGCATTACAAAGACAAGTAAATGTTCTTATTCCACAAGGAGTTTACTGTCTGTGGAGAGATCCAGGACCAAAAAAACTTAAGCCTCATCAAGGTGGTTTCGACAATGAAGGGAAGAAAATGCAGGAAGACCAGCTCCCCCTGCATCTAGTTGCTCCAAAAGCCTGCATGAAAATGCCTCCTTTGCTGTGAGGCTGGAACAAGGAGCTGGCCAGAGGATTTGGCAGAAGGCATTCCATGGAGATGAGATGACAAGCGACCAACGTGATGATCTTCACATATCCTCAGCCAGACCCAGCTTTATAAAGTTTATTCCTGATCTCCCTGTCTAAGGGCATTTACTTTAGGAAACTTGCATTTGCAATTTTCTCCTCTGCCCCTTTGTAATGTATGTAAATATCTTTGAGAGCTTCTTGACAGTTTTACCACCGAGAATGGTCTTTCTCAATGACCTGGGAGCCATCCCTCAGACACGCTCTCAGACTAGAGAGCACCCCTGTCTCCCACTCACTGTGGGAGGCTGCAGACCTCGGCTCCAAGACCACTGATTAGCAAACACAGGTGGCATACCCATGGGGAAAAACACTGGGAAACAAATGAGCAACCAACTCAACGTGGTGGACTCATCCATTGACCATTTCCCTCCTTGTACCAGGGCTCAAAATCCCTCCCATTTTTTATTTCAGTGGAGCCGAATTCAGTCCCCTTCCCCTTTTGCAATCACGGTGAGTAAATTCCCCTTTGCATGTTTATCTTGTGCAGTACAATTTCTCTTGGACAATTGCAAAGGTCTGGGGTCAGGCAAGCCGCACATATGCACACAACTGAAACGCTATGGACACATTAGGTCTCTGAGTGTGGCTGCATGGAGGGGGCAGGACAGAGCGGCCCTGATTGCCTGGTCATCAGGCCTTTGTAATGCCACCCAAAGTGAGGTACATCTTATTCCATAAAGAAAGGGAGACTGTCAGCTAATTCTTAAGAGAGAAGCAACAGATTCTGTCCATGTGTTCTGGAATGCAGTGAGAATCGAATCAGAGATGAATACAGATGTGATTGCAGAGGCCATGGAAGAAATGAGACAAACCCAGGCAGCAGCATCTCAGGCTCCAGGCAGGCAGCTGACTGAAGCCCACACAGTAAGGACAGGTTTCCAATGAGGGAGATGAGGTTTCATCCTTTACTATGCATGGTGAGTTTTAACTGTTTTGAAAACTATGTTTTAAAACAATGATGCTGCTCTTGCTTTTGTGGCAGCTGAGAGTGCACCTGGAATGAAGCAGGAGAAAGGGAGCATCTGTGAAAGAGTGTTCCGCCTGAATCTAGGGATCAAGCTGCCACTTCAAAAGCTGAAAACAGCAAAAGCAGAACACCTAAGTACCAAATATAGGTCATGTTTTTATTATGTTGGCGCAAAAGTCATTGTGGTCTTTGCCAGCACTTTTAATGCAAAAACCACAATTCCTTTTGCACCAACCTGACCTAATAGCAAAAATAAGTACAATATAAAAGTACGAAATTATTCCAGGGTATGGGGGGAGAGAGAAAAAGAGATTGAAACAGTATAAAGCGAAGATATAGAAATCATGATAAAATTATCTGAAGCTAATAGGAATGCTTTCCTTAAGATTCACAAGCAACAAAGATACCTCCTTAACTGGGATAGGTACATACAAATGTAGAAGATAAGTAACTTTTATAAATGCTGAGACTAATCATTCAGAGAAATTTAAAAATACTTGTGCTCATGTAACAAAAAATGTATAATTATCAAGAGAAACCATATAAAGACATTTCCTCATGGATTTTACGAAAATCATCTTAAATACTTATAAAATTCCACAGAAGGGCATGACAGATCTCCATAAATGAAGACATACATATGTGCCTAGACTACAGTTTTCCCAAATGCATCTATGCAAAATTATTCCAGCCAAAATCTCGAAGCATTTTTATTTTTTTATTATACTTTAAGTTCTAGGGTACATGCGCACAACGTGCAGGTTTCTTAAGTATGTGTAAATGTGCCATGTTGGCATGCTGTACCCAATAACTCATCATTTACATTAGGTATATCTCCTAATGCTATCCCTCCCCACTTCCCCCACCCAATGACAGGCCCCGGTGTGTGATGTTCCCCTTCTTGTGTCCAAGTGTTCTCATTGTTCAGTTCCCACCTATGAGTGAGAACATGCGGTGTTTGTTTTCTGTCCTTGCGCTAGTTTGCTGAGAATGATGGTTTCTAGCTTCATCCATGTCCCTACAAAGGACATGAACTCATCCTTTTTTATGGCTGCATAGTATTCCATGGTGTATATGTGCATTTTTAATGACTAAAAATATTCTAATTTTTAAGGGAGATATTTTATTTTTAAAAAGGAGATGAGATTTTGCAATATATAAAATGTCTATTAAAAAGTACAGAATTGAAAATTGCTTACTCTGATATGTGAACAGACAGGTTAGTATCTGACAACTAGTCACAGGCAAGCTAAGGTGGAAAATAAACTCTCAAAAAGTTACCACACTGTGTGTTGGAATGCTTTTTCAATAAAAATTCGTCTAAAACCTGGTCAATTCTTTCAAGAAAACTATACCAGTCTTCCACCATACACCAAACTAATTTTCAGAAAAATACCAATTTGTTAAAAAAAAGTAGAAACTTACATTTATTAATAGGTATGTAACATTATGCTGATAAAAACCTCATTAGTAGAACTTCAAAAGTAGAAACTGGGAGAAGAAAAATAATCATTTTGGCTGCCTAAAGTTTCATATAACCTCTGTATATCACAGATGCCATAAATAAATGAAAAGATAAAGTAAGACCTCAGACCAAAGTAAAAATTCAGCAACTGTTTGCATCGGCCATTCTTGATCTGCCCTCCAAATTCACTCTCCATGCTTCTGCACGCCCACATCCTCCTTCCTCAACTCCTCCATCCTCTGATATCCAGGGGGGTTTCCAGCAGGAGCGTGGGCTGGTGAGGACAGAGGTCAGGGCTTGCATTGGCCGACCCTGCGCATCTTTCCTTCCGGGCCATGGGTCACGCCCCTGGGATCTTGATCAACTCAATACATGAGAGATGTGCTTACATAAAGTCACTACATGACAGGCACTCACAAGGGAATAAGAAAAAATGTTTTGAAAACTGTAAGAGTGAAACGGTAAGGGATAACACCGATGTAGCTCACCAGTTCATAAAAGGAATGATCAATTGGTAAAGAAGTTTATCAAAGATGTTCAATTTAATTTATAATCAAAGACATGACTGGTAATACAATGACGAGTAATTTTAGCCCTAGATCATATAAGTGTTTTAAAATAGTCATCCTCAGCCCGGCCACCATGGCAAAACCCCCTCTCTACTAAAAATACAAAAATTAGCCAGGCGCGTAATGGTGTGTGCCTGTAGCCCCAGCTACTCTAGAGCCTGGGGCAGGAGAATTGCTTGAACCCAGGAGGCGGAGGTTGCAGTGAGCTGAGATTGCACCACTGCACTGCAGCCTGTGTGAGAGAGCAAGACTCCGTCTCAAAAAAAAAAAAAAAAAAAAAAAAAAAAAAGTAATCCCTGGGCACTCACACAAGTATCTGAAAAATTGGGACTTTATTTTCACTGCTTTGGAGATTATCAATACAATATTTATTAAAAACAAAATTGGCATTACATGTCAAAAAGCTTTACATTTGACCTGGAAATTTTACGTATAGGAATGTCTCTTTAAAAAAAAAAGTGACAATATGCAAAGAGATAAGTATTAGAATGCTCTTTCCAGCATTAGAAACTTTAACCTGTGTAAGAAAGTACTCAAACATTCAACAGACCTGGACTGGTAAAATGAACTATGCATGCAGCTTTCGAAAGCGATGCATGTACCCTCGAACATGCAGACTACACTGATGCTTCTCATTTTTTCTAACATAAGAAAAGTTTGTAAAGACATCAATCAAAATACAGTAATTATGTTAATTACTGTTACTATTACACCAAAAATTTGAATGATATAAAATTGAATATCCTGTGTATTTTTTATATAAAGCGTATCCTTTTTGTTTCCTATATAATTGTTATTAATACAAGAAAGGAAAATTGGCCGGCCGTGACGGCTCATGCCTATAACCCCAGCACGTTGGGAAGCCAAGGCGGATGGATCACCTGAGGTCAGGAGTTGGAGACGAGACTAGCAAAACCCAATCGCAACTAAAAATACAAAAAATTAGCTGGGCATGGTGGTGCACACATGTAATCCCACCTACTCGTGAGGCTGAGGCAGGAAGATTTCTTGAACCTGGGAGGTGGAGGTTGCAGTGAGCTGAGATCAGAGATCACGCCACTGTACTCCAGGCTGGGTGACAAGAGCAAGACTTCATCTCAAAAAAAAAAAAAAAAGGAAAATTAAAAATTAATCACCTTTGTCTTAGGTTTAATTCCTGGGAAATCAATGCTGACACAAGTATTCATGTGAGAGTGATTTTTAAGAAGAGTTTTCTGATAAAGACCTCAGACCGTCAGAGGCAGAGCAGGGAAGGACGCCTAGCAAAGGGGTAGAGTCACAGACCCATCTTTGGTGCAATCCCCCAGGGGGCTGTGGAGCCTCAGAGTTGTCCAGGTCAGCTACGTTGGGCTAAGTTCTGCAGCAACCCTCATTCCAGAGCTGCATTGCTTAAGGCCTCTGGCCACTTTGGTGGGATGGGCTTTTGGGTGAGACACCACCTAGGAGGTGGGTTTCGGGACCTGGGGAGGGCACCTGAGTGGTGGGTGCAGGGCACAAAGTCCAAGCCCTGAAACCTCAACTTTAATTCTTCCCTTTCACACATGGAACTTACGTCTTGTACTCATCACAGATTCTGTAATATCGGAAATAAATCTCCTGATTGTTATTTTTTAAAAGCAGACTTCTTTCCTTAGTTTTATCCCAAGTTGTAAGCACAACTGCTTGCCTGATGTCTTCAATATCTTGGATTCACCATTTAATACGTAAAAAGTAAAAGGGAAAAAAACCTACAGATCTGAAATGATAAATTCATGAGCCAAAATAAAGAAAAGAAAAATTGGTGTCATTTTACATTTTTTGTATCTTACCTTAAATCAATGTCTTACTTCAGACTGTCTGTGCCCTTTTCCTACTTCTGGTCATTTCTTAGCTAAATCTTATTGCGGCCACCTTGAGGACTGATCTATGACTTTCTCAGCATTTTCAGGTCACCTTTAATTGCAAAATGAAATATGAAGTATCACAGACAAGGAGGGTGGAAGTGGAAGATGTGAGCTATAAATTGCTGCTGCTGCTGCCAGAACCCAGTACTGAGCAGATTCAAAGTGAGAGACACCCTCTCCCCGTGGGTTCTATTTCGGCCAGTCAGCTACTCTTAGCGGACTTGACAGCCTCAGATGGCTTTTTTTTTTCTTTTCTTCAAATTGAGGGGCGCAAGTACTTAATGTCATTTTGAAGGGCAGCAGTTACTAAATTAGAAACAAATCTTTTCTATTAATTTAACTCTTTTGCATATCTCAATCATCTCAGTTAGTGAGCACCTCTATGCCGCTTTGACACACTCTGGATTCTGAAACCATCTTTATCTACACCAGTGTCCTCAGCCTGTCCAATAATGGAGCCCTGTCCTTCTACACAAGGCAGCCTAAACTACCCACCACCCCACATTAATAATAGGAAAAACACAGAAACTTTGTGAGGCAAAAAGAAAAAAAAATACAACTGAGAGTAAAAAGAGAAATGAATACAGCTACTCTTTTCTAAAATGACAAAGGATAGAATTATTGTTTCAGACTACTGAGACTTGGCAAGCCCAATGTATTTTAAGCATAGGTACTATTTGCAAGGCAGCATTCGTACTGTGATTCAAGGTAACTGGTACATTTTGATCATCTCTTCCTTTCATATTTACTGCATCCATCATTGAAGCAAGGCTCAGCATTTTGCTTCCCTGGTGTAGACAGACCATTTGCAAAGGGCATTAATGGACGTAGCTATATAGCCTAGTTGAAGTTGATGACATATAGAAAATATTAAGTGTCCACAGACAGTTTTAAGGCCATCTGGAGGGATCTCAAAATCGAAGAGCAATTGCACAAAGGAACTCATTTAGATTAGTTATGCTATCTATAGGATGCTCATTTTGCATCAAAGTACAATTGGCTTAAACTAGTAGTGTTTGCCCTTTTCCCTTTTCCTCTGCCTGCCTCAGCCAAGGCTTCGTGGTTTCAGGCTCATCTTGACCTATGACTGGTCCTCCAACTAGGAACAAGCAAAATGAGTGTGTGCGCGCGTGTGTGTGTGTGTGTGTGTGTGTGTAGGGATAGTGAGAAGCATCCCCGTGGTTAACTTAACTTTGGGAATTAACCTTTATCATGTGTGCCATCTCACAGTGGACTTGAAAACAAACCACGAAATCAAACAATAAAAACAAGACACCACTTAAGAAAAGACAGAGTGTGAATTTCCAAGCAACTTGAAACTTTATAATTTCAAACTATAGTTTATGAAGAGATCACAATGTTTTTTTCTTACACTTAATTCACAATGACTCTAGGTATCCTGTCTGTTTCTAGGCATGGATTTCCATGCTTCTGATAACTTTGTAATACCTCATTAATACTGTGAAAGGCTTTGTTTTCTTGTTTTGATATTATCTTCCAAAGAGAATGTTTAAATATGTCAACAATCATTTATTGTTATACTCATTCTCGCTTCCTGACATAGAAAATCCGTGACGTCATAGGGAAGGACAGACTCCAATAATACTTAGTTTTTGAAAAATATAGTATGTCCTTAGAGATGCAAATATCATGTCATATCCGTGTGTTTTCAAATCGTGTGACATTAACCACTGGAGAGAGGCAGAATAAAGTGATCTTAGTGCTGGCTTCTACAAGAAATTATATTTTCAGAATCTTTATGTTATTAGAGCCAGCAGTAAAGTCACCAGATATCATTTGGTTTTCTCCGGTGCCATTTCTAATTCAATAAAAACAGATCTTGATATTGTGTTACAGAAAAGTACAATTGCTTAGTCTTATTTAAAAGATCATGTATATGATTTTTTTGCCCATACAATGGACTATATATGAATATAAGCTATTTGTTAATATTCTTTAAGTTGATCCTGGCCACTTTCCAAAGTGAGGATAAATTCCAAACTTTTGAATATAAATTCATGGTTTATGGTTTACTGAGAAATGTTATCCAAACAGAAACATCGATAAAGCAATTCCCTTTAGTGTTCAGTGAAGAATTCATGGAAATAAGCCTTCGAAATATAAAAAGGGTTTCAGTTACTATTAACTACCAGTGATGTACTCAACATAGTTATTAGATACCCAGTCTAGATTTGTCTCTTGTCTCTTTTATAGGAAGGGGTTTTGCATGATAGGAGAGGAGGGTTAGGGGTCAGAAAGCCCTAGGTTGGAATCTGCCCGACATTCAACAGACCAGAACTACCAGAGACAAATTTGACTGTAAATCTCAGCTGTTTTATTTATAAAATCGAAAGCCAGGATTCTACTATTGTTTTGTAGATCTTAATTACTGAAAAGATCTATGTCTTCTATCCTCCATCCAATAGAATTCAAAATGAAAACATATCAGTAAAATAAAGTTAAGCTCATTTCTGCTTTTTTCCACGAATGTCTATTCTAGTAACCTTTTAAAATACTAATATAATTTTTTTCAAAGAACGTTATTGGTATTTATTTAGTCCTTCTCTTTGTTGGTGCTCTACATTTGAGCTCATAGAATATCCTTGACACAGTAATTATGTGTGTGTTACATATTTTTTGTAAGAATTTAATGAGAGCCAAGTGTTAACTGCCTGAGAAAGCAGCTAGCCCACAGAGCCTCCATAAATACGATGGGCATTCATGCAAGACAAGTCTTTACAGATGTATCGTAAGTCAAAGACGGCAGGAGCCACAACTCTACTCACATATTGGAAAGCCACATCTTTTAAATGCCAACAAAACAGTATTAGGGGTGTGTTCTATTTCATGGTTATTTGGTTATTTGTTCAACCATTAAAATTATTTCCACAATAACGAGAAACTATTTCCTTTATACATCAAAACTAGATGCCCTTGTATTCTGAATGGAACCAAATAATGAATTAATTTTCAGGAAATTTAAACCATATTTAACTAGATGAGTTAAAATACACCTTCTAAAGCTCCAGGAAAATAAGCCTCTAATTATTGAAGCTGGAAAACCAACAGAGCAGAAGCAATTAATAATTGAAAAACTCATGCTATGGAATGTTCAGAAATTTTAAATATAATAGAGAATCATTGATTTTGATGCAGGTATTTTAAGACGCCAAATTACAAAGCTTTCTATGCAATTACTGAATAAATTGCCAGTCATATACAGACTTCGGTGTAGATTTTTTTTTTTTTATTTAAAAAGGGATTCCTGACTGACTTTATATTACCACCAGACAAAAGAATGGACGTGAGAGAGAGAGAGAGGGAGGGAGGAACACTGGGAGGGAGGGAATTAGGGAGGGAGGAAGGAAGGAAGGAAAGTACGAAGGAAGACAGGGGATATAAAAGGCAGAGAGAGATAATATTACAAAGAATTTTTACTGACTTTTAGTGATCAAAATATAAAACCAATATTATGTTCATACATTATATCCTTATGACTGCTATATGAAATGCCTGCAAGCCTTCAAGAAAAGTATCTTAGTATTTGTTCTGTTTACATGATACAATTTATTCCTAGGGGACCTAATACAGATATGATTACTGATACTATTTAACAAATACAGACATGGCTCATTGTCTAACAGCCTGTACCCAATCCTTCTCTACATATGCTTCCCTAATAAAAGAGAAAAGAAAACACTTAAAGCGGTTTACTTAACAAAAAGGGATAGGAACTTGAAATTAATTTCCACTTCCTGGTAAACACATAGGATTAATTTAAATCTAGTAGAAGGTAGAATTATACAGAAAACAAACTTTGTAATGGAGCAGCTCCAATTTGGAGTTTCAAGTACCCAAGTATCCAACTGATAATATAATACTGGCATATAAAATGAGGTATAGACCTGATTCTGCAGGGACGATGTTTTTTCCCCCTGGATGTCAGTTTACTCGTTTGTATAGAGAGATAATATCTGCGATAATCATAGTCCTAAAATTATATTTCAAGAATATATGTATTGCACCTGTCCATCTCTTTCATGGATGTATTTAGTATATCTTTTTATTCTATGCAATATGCTTCATGTTATAGAACACTTCAATATCCTCTGAAAATTGTGAAGCACTCTGCCAATTCGTGGTCTTATTCTCATGGTGATCTAATGTGATAAATTATTTCTTGGTCTTCATGTGACCGAGTCCTTGCCTACTACAGCCAGGAGGCTCAGTGGGTTGAGAAGCCTGCGTCGAGAAGTCAGCGAGTGAAACGCCACCACTCTGCATTGTCACTCTGCCACACTCCCTCATCACATCACTTAACCTTCCCCTCTCACTTGCTCTAAATGTGAAATGGAGAGGAAGACGCTGAGCCAAAACTGAGGAAGTGCTACATACATTAAATTACCTAGTGCTTGTGAACCATCTTTAAACACATAAATTATTTTAAAATAAAATACTTTGCATGCAGATGACAGAACAGACCTCATAAAGCATTATATTATAATTTGTTCAAATTCCAGACCCTGTCATATTCCATTAATGAATACAGGATGATTCAGGGTGAACACGTTGAGATGAAATGTGGTCCTGGAACATGGAAAACTCGAAAGTGGAAGCTCATTGTGGGATGCAGCACAGATATGCTAAATTATTGTGAACGTAACCATTCATGGTGACTCAAATGCGATGGCTTGTGGACCTCAGAGCAGTAAACCTGAGCCTTTGCTAGACGATTTTTTAATTACCAAGGGCTTTTCTTTCTCACACAAACTAAATACTCAAAGAATTATCTGAGTCCTCCCATGAAACAGACAGTGAGATGACGGAAACCCGGATTTTCGGTGTCATTTACAGACCCACAATCTCTAATTTTAAAATGAACCCAGCAAAAACGTTTAATTACCTAACTTTCAAAAGTCTCTAGGAAGTGATAACTCAATTGCATGTGAAGCACCCAGACAGCCACACTCTAGACAACCACCAGCTCTCTAGGTGCAATTTCAAACCTATAGCTTACTGAGGATCATGCAGTGTGCACATGCTCGGAGACCTGACCCAAGTCCCGCTACACCCTAGGAAGGTGGCCTAGTTCCACCCTAGATGGGAGGCTGGCTCTGTCAGTTTTCAGCGTTGCAGTATTGAACTCGTGTCTCACCTCCAGCCTGTGGATGAAGCAAAGTTCTTTGCCATAAAAGTCCCCTGGATGATGTTAGTGCCATCAACACCCTGCCTGCTTCCCACGCCCATCTGTGGGCCATCTATTTAGTTTACATTGCATTCACTTCTTTCCTCTGGAGCTCTTTTCCTGCCACCGTGCTACTAGCATATTAACAAAGAGAGAAATCTTGACGATAATCATATTTTTCAAAAAGGTAATTAACTTTCTCTTCTCATCCAGAAACAGTAATTAAAATCATCCTGAAACCATACAAAGAAAAGAAGCATTTGAACCATGGTCGCAGTGCCTGTGAGTTTCATGTAGAGTATGCTTTGTTGAGCCCATTCATTGAACGATGAACTTCATTTGAAAACCACCCATTTGATCACAAAAATCTAGTCCTGTGACAACCTTAAATTCTCATGCTATGAATTTGAGGGAAGCAGTAAAAGATGAAGGTGTCATAAAAAAATAATAAAACTGCAGCCTGAAAGATGGTCTTACCCTTCCTAGGAGTTGAATGAGCAAGTACAGATGCATGCCTGCGCTCTTAAGCTATTATTTATGTTCAATTCTATGTGGCATTTTGATTTTTCAAAAGAACCACATACAAAGACTAACTTCAAATGTTATCTGGACTACCTCATCATCTCAAAATAGACTTATCTTGAAATAGAAAAAGAATTAAATATTTTTATTCTTTTTAACCACAGACTAATACATTCTCATAGAAAATTAATGGGAAATACAGAAGACTACTCGAGTAATTTAGGACTGTGATTAAAGTGGATGACATTATTGTACCCAACTTTTCATTCCCATCTGCCTGTCCACCACTCACCCGGGGGTTCGGCAGCTTCTCCCACAGAAAGCAAACCTTATTTCCCAGCCACATTGACTTTGGACATGGCCCTATGACAGGCCTCGGCTAATTTCCAAGGGTAGGGTGACAGCACTGACTTAAAACCTATTCAGGGCAGTACTCTCCTGAGCTTCCCTCACTGCCGGGTGGGAAACGTGCTCCAGGCAGCCAAACATTCTCACAAAAATGAAAGACTCATGGGGCACACTTGAGCTGAAACCTTGTCTTATAGCCAAGCTGAGCCCAGCCCATCCTGAATCACCTAAACCCCAGACAAACCAGAGAGCAGGACACCAGTACGTGTTCATTGTTCCGTGGGCCTGAGCTTTGGAATGGGTTGTTACTCAGCATTTTTACAGTAATAGTAATGACAGTAATAATCCTAATACATATGAATATACATAATACTGTACATGCACACGTACATACATGTGTAGATACACTATAAATGTTTTCTTATATGTTAAACTGAATAAAAATACTACCTGTAGTCTTCTGTTAAGAATCATATCACAGTATGTAAACTATCAGCTCTATATCTGACATAGAATAATGGATCCATAGAAGCCAGCCATAATATTAATAATAATAGCAAGCTATGTTATTGTTAATATTACTAGTAAGAGGAGGAGTATATTCTCAAAGGTCTCCATGAGGGAAGTACAAGCTCTCTTTCTACTGCTTTTCTAAATTCAATAAAGCCCACCCTCAGTAGGAGTTCACTTGGAAAAACTTCCCAAACAGTAAAATACAAATCTGTTGTGTATCCCATTGCTCTCGCCCATAGATAGCACATCTGGTTGACTTTTGTAAATAATACTCGTGTGGGCTCAATGTCCTTATTAGCATGCTTACTTGCAATTATGTTTCCTGGGTGCTACACAAAAGAGGAATCCACCACCACGATTCCGGCGGTGTGGAGTCACAGAGGGCGGCAGGCAGATTGGTTTCATTGCCAGCACCAGTCGGTCAGCAGCGGTATAGGGTTGCTGCATTAGGAACGATGATCAGAGCATTTACTACAGATGCTGGTTGAAAAAGGGTGCTAATTATTTGCTTTAAAGAAAGTGTGTAAATCTATCTTTCCACCACCCCTTCCTGCGACAATCATTGGTAGGGCACTATCTAGATTATAGACCCTTTTGCTAAGTTCTGTGAATTCAAAGGAAAAAGACGGAAACATGGATCTAAAGAATTAAGCTCTTGTAACTTACTTGAAGCTTGTATCTGTACTCTCAAATAATAATCATAGTGAATAAAACACATCCTCTTGGATCCCTTGTGGTAGAAAAAGGCTTTCAGTGATACAACTTAATATGTTCCTAGACACTTATCATAATGGGTGTGATACTAATGGTTTCACCCAAAAATTAAATAGAACACAGCCAGCAATCATACCAACAGCCTTTGGACAATCGGTTTCAACCATTTAGAACATACTGGTTTAAAAATCTACTGTCGCTTGAACACGCCCACTCAGAAAGTTTGCCTAATGGGAGAACATTAAAACATAAACTTATTTAGAACCTTGGTATCATTTTTCATATTCCCCAGGCCAACAGGCATGTAATAAAGTGATAGTGCTTTCATGATTTAAAAGTTATCTCTCCATGTCTCTCCAACAAGTCTGGATCCAATATTCTTTTTCTATGTTTACAAAAAACTGAGCTGGATTATTTGGGGTCAGAGATAGAAATCATTCTTCAAGAACATAAGAGATCCAGAAAATCTTGTTTAAAATTGGAGGACATTTTGCTCTTGATCTTATTGAGTTGTCTTGCCGAGTTTTACTTTCCAGTCACACAGATGAGTACAGCTTCACTGCCTCTGGCTGCAGAATAAAACTGAATGAAACAGATGGACCTTATTACCAATAAAAGGAGCCATAGCTATTAATTCAGGGACAACTGTTACATACATTCATGATAAATACACGTCTTGATATCATCTGAATTCACTGATATTATTCTTTAGGAGAAAAGATAGAGTTTTATGAATTAGGAAAAAATACTTCTAATGAAGGGCAATAAGAAAATCATTAAATGTGTTATACATATTAATAATATTATACATCTATAGCAAGAGTTTCCGGTGTATCACCATGGGATGAAACAACTGCTTCTAAAATCTCCCATCTGATACTCAACATTTTAAGCAGTAAGGAGTATAAGTTAAATTTCCAAACATTACCTGCAATCTAAGAATACTGTATGTATAAACTAACAAGAGACTTCCAGGGGATTGCCAATAGACATGAATAAGAATCTCAGACTAAGTTCTACTCTTCAGTAAAGAGGCCTTAGGTTTAAAAGCCTAGACCCATGAGCTCTACTCCCTACAGCTAGACCAAAAGGTAAAGCTGTGCTCTCCAGTAGAAATAATATGCAAGCCACATATGTAATTTTAACTTTTCTAGGGGCCATATTTAAAAAGGCTAAAACTGAGTTTGATATCTAGCCTAGCATATCCAAAACATCTGTCATTTCAACATGTAATAAGTGAAAATTGAGATAATTCATGTTTTTTTACACTAAATATTTGAAATATACTGTGTATTTTATGCTTCTAGTACATATCATTGTGGACCACCTGCATGTCTACAACTCAACAGCCACATGGGGCAAGCGGTTGCCATATTAAACAGTGCCATTCAAATCCAAGTCCGGCCACTTACCAAGTATATTAACCTAAATCAGTTTCTTCACCTGTTTCTTCTCCTGCAAACGGGGTAATTACAGTATTGTCAGGAATATCAAGTGAATATATGCCAAGTGCTTAGAATGAGGGTTAGCTCAATATAAATGTTATACAAAAATACCAGTTAAAGTTAGCTCATTTGGTAACTATTTCCTTAGCCTTTAGAAACACAAAACCTTAGTTAAGGATTTAAGCCTACCATTTTATATAATTCTAAAATATTTTATGTAAACTTCAAGAACTGAGCAGTATTAACTCACATCCATTCCCTGTCATGTATTAAAAGTAAATGGATGCAGATTTTTCATTTATGTGAAATGATTTACCTAATAAAATTCAAATTGATTTTCTCATAGTCAAATTTAATATGTTCCTCAACTTATTTTTCTTTTGTAAATGCACAGCTTGCATTTTTGTTTTTGACTTTTGATAATTTATTCCATAGCCATTCATAACGTGATTGTACCTTCAAACTCACTATGCAGGGAAACTAAACAAGGCCTTTTCTTGCTTTGCCACCTAGTACCACCCGAGTCATGTTTGATGTTATTATTTGGCAATTGTCTGTAACACTTAGTAAAATACACGTGTGTGTGTGTGTGCGCACGCGCGTATGTGTGTGTATGTGGGGGGTGGTGGCTGTGTGTCTGTATAATTGCTACTTTCCCTTAGGGGTTCCAGGAAAATATGCAGATAATATGATTTTGTATTACATAGAAAATTTCATAGAAACTTTATAATGTTCCAATGTCAATGAGATTCCGTCATCTGGAAATTTTCATAATTCATATGTAACAATATATTTGCTCTGAAATAATTGAAAAAGCTGAAGAAAGTGCCTCGCATATCACCAATATAATAAATCATATAAAGAACGAAGACGAGAACTTTATAAATTAGTTCAAAGAGATCAAATGATTTATAAGAAAACTGTAACAGCCTTGTGTCTGAATCAGATAAAATTAACTGCTACCTCTCCTGAAATATGAGATTAAAGAATGGCATAAAATAGTGATGATATTAAAGACAAGAAAGTAAAGAGATATTTGTTGTAAGAGTTTCATTTTCTGTACTATTCCACCCAGTGAAATGGGCATCACACTTAAACGATTAATCAGTAAAGTAATTCGACCCTGTTAGAGAAAGGTATTCTGTAAGTGGAAAGCATTTTTATGGCAACACATAAATGATCAAGTGAGAAAAATAAGGCTGTAGTGGCATCAACCATCACTGCTTCATTAATTTCTCCTCATTTCTGGAAAATGGTGAATCACGAGGTTCAACAAGAGAACTGAAGACAATTCAATTTTATTGAATTTCAATTTAACCTGCTTAAATTAGGAATGTCAAACCTAGTATTAATTGGGAATATTGACTCGGAGAGAGAAGTTTCTTCTTTCAAACTACCTTGAGTATTGGCCCCCTGTATTTTTAACCATTAAAATTAGTTTTTTTTAAGTAATGTATTATGTTGAATCATATAAAATTGTTGCTATTTGATTATTTTTGTTCTAGAAGAATACAACTTCAAAAAATACAATTTTATCAAATTTAGGGGATTGGTGGCAATGTATTGCTGCCATAGAAACAAGAGGTATTTCCCAATATTGACATGGAAAAATAAACACATGTGAGGCTCATCCTTTGGCAATAATTAAAATGTCTTATAACACATTCACTTCAAAATTTTGATGGGGCTGTCATAACTGGACTTTTTAAGTTGAAATGATTTCTATTGGCTCATTGAGTCACAGAAATAAGAAAAAAAATGAATACTGATTCATTTTTTTTGCTTCGTTTAAATCTTTTAGTCTCTTTCAAACATTCAGTTTATTTTAGGAATATGGTTTAAAATACCAAGTTTTGCATAGACATAGGAAAAGATGTGATTTTTTTTCTTCTATGAGACAGTGAAATCAGTGCCACAGCTGCCTCAAATCATAGAACTGTTCCCTAATGAATTGACTGTTTCTCCGTATAGAATTTTCTGATAGGCGCATTAGAATAAGTCATAGAAATACATGCTGGTTTTTTAAAATAATAAACGAAAGACAGAAAGTAACAGCTTCCAATTACAGCAGGAGTCAAGCCCAAGAAAAGACAAGGTCCTGTCATTTATAAAACTTTGGCTTTGACATCATCGAAAATTCCTACGCAGCTGGACAGGAGTCTCAGGAATGAGAACACAACCAATTATGCCCTTCTGTGAAGCTCACTGGCTGCTTCGTGTGCAGCGAGATAAACACAGCTGTCTGTTCACTGCCTTGCCTACGTCTCTAAGTGAGACACAACCAGTCGAAGTCTGTATTTCACAGATGAATAGTTCTAAGTTTGTCGGGGAGGTGGGGGTTTTTCTCCCAGTTTGGGATAGTGGCTGCTTCCAATCAAAGACAGATGCTTCCAGTCTTTTTGGTACAAACATTCAGTTAGATAGAAGGTATAAATTCTACTGCTCTATAGCACAGAGTAGTGACTTTGTCAATTTCTAAGTAGGTAAAAAGAGTACTTGAAACGTTCCCGACACATAGAAATAATACTTAAGTTGACAGATATCCCAAATACCCCAAATTTGATCATTATACATTCTATGTTTGCAACAAAATATCACATATACCACATGAATTTATCAATTATATATTAAAGTCAATCCAAGCAAGCTTTTTTTAAAAAAACCTACATACAATATTTTCATAGATCATTTAAACAAAGATTCTTATTCTCTATAATTTAGTCCATTAAGCAAATAAAATATGAAAGAAACATGTAAAAAATACTATTAAAAGAAATTGCCTTTCTTCACAAAGCATCTGGAAAAGACCTTGAGTTTGTGTTCTCATGCATTTTTGTAGATGCTCTTATGGAGGAAAACACATTTCTAATACTCCACTTTTCATAGGGAATCTATTGTTATTGATATGTTATCGCTATGTTTTATTACACCCTTGAGAAACAGGTAATATTGCTTGTATCAGTTTATAGCAACACTAAATCATGCATTTCTTGACAAAAATGTAAGAATAAACAATTCCACAAAAATAGTCTTGCCCTTATTTATCTGTTAAAACTCACACCAACACTGGAATCCACAAGAAACAAAACACAAACCCATTTTTAAGATCCCTCTGGCAGAGGTAGATATTTATGCATGATTTACATAGTTGAGAAAAACTATTTCTAAAAATATGTTAAGCTCTCGCTAAATCCCTGACAAAAGCCTCAGTCACTAATGCATACACTAAACGAAATACTGCATGTTTTGGGCTTAGGAATATATTCAAGGAGCAAATGTGCTTAGAAAAATCAAACATGAAATGCTTGTAGTAATGATCTTTCTGTTAAAAAATAAACAAATCACTCCCCCCACAGAGCCGGGGCTGTGATGAGAAATAAAATTTGCTAAGATTCTGGAAAAAAAAAATTAATAGAACATAAAGCTGCCACCAAGCCCATCTTAAAACTTTAATTTTATGGAACTCAGCCTACCAGTCTGCCTTGTTTTCTGTATTCTTCCTAGATACAACAGAACGTATCAAAAAATAAATATCAGAAGCTGTCTGATTTGCTTTTTATCCTAAGCATAATGAGCAAACACCAGTGAATGTGTTAACTCTTTCCAGAAGCCCTAGAGAAACATGTTCATCAAAGTTCAAATCTCTGGCAAACATCTTTGCCATGTTTCTAAAAGGGTCTCCAGAGCTGTAATAACATCAATTTACACGTTGCAAGAGAGAATGACACACTATTAAGAGATTCAAGAATCCTCAGTAATTCAAGATGGAAACAGGATAAACTACCGACATACAGACTTTAAGAAAATGCATTTTGGAGTAATTTTACTGTTGCTTGAGAATGTCTAGGGTTGCCATCGAATTTCATCAGATACAAGGCAGTAATTCCAGAGTGCATAGTAGCATTCTCAGGTTTTGTGTGTTTTCCATTAGAGAATATTTACAAGTAGGTCAATCTACTCTAAATTTCTTAAATGTTTGTAATTATACATTTTTGATTAATTATTTAGTAATCAGTGATTCATAATTAATCAACAATTGTTGCATAATTGATTAACACCCTTTTTGAGCTTCATCACATTTAAAGGAGAAAGTAATGTACAGTTTTGATGGCAATAACCTTTAAAAAATAATTTCAGACAAAACATTTAATCCCATATATTACGGCCTCAGCCTATTTCTTGGAATATATAACGAATTCCGTGAAAACTGCAAGAAAATTAGGTTTCTTCCATCTTCAGAATGATTTTGTGTGTGTGTGTGTGTGTGTGCGTGTGCGTGTGCGCATGTGCGCGTGTGTGTATGTGTGTGGTGGGGGATGGAGATTCGCTCTTAATGGCCAGGCTGGAGCGCAATGGCACAAACTCAGTTCACTGCAACCTCTGCCTCACAGGTTCAAGCAAATCTCCTGCCTCAGTCTCCCGAGTAGCTGGGATTATAAGCATGCACCGCCAAGCCTGGCTAATTTTTGTTATTTTTAGTAGAAACACGGTTTCACCATGTTGGCCAAGGTGATCTCGAACTCCTAAAGTCAAGTGATCCACCCACCTCGGCCTCCCAAAGCGCTGGGATTACAGGTATGAGGTAATAATAATAGATTAATTATAGCCCAGAATAATGATTTATTCAATGCTTTAATTAGGCAAATAATAAAGCTATATTTTAATTAGTATTGATCAAGGGTCTTCATGTGCTGTATACTAGTAGGAGACTTGGTGTATATGGGTGAACACAACAGCAAATCCCAGCTCATGCAGGTGTACCCTGTGACATAGGTTTCCAGTATTTTTGTCCTAACATTGAGATCATTGATAAGGAAATGTTCTAAAATTTCAAAATCTATATTAATTTTAGCTTACTGTAATAAGGTACCCCAAAATTATAATACTGCGGACTCTTAATCATTTGTTAGATACTATTAGCTCATATTTCACTGATAAAAACTATATAATCACAAAACTACGTATTTGGTTGAATAAACATTTTGCATTATGACTGTTTATTATAGAGACTGATGGATCCTCATATTTCATAAATCATTTTCCGTTTTTTAAATTTATTAATTATATAGAATTAGTTTAAATTTCCTTCTGAATTATGACTTGACTGGAGGAAATTAGGTAGTATCCCGCTGGGTGACCTAAATTTGAAATGACAGTTCTGACTCAATCAATGACATCTAGGTCAATATCAGGAAGAGTTGGAACGTGTAATAATGAATGTCTCCAGATCAATAGATTTGAACATGTTAGAACAAAGTTTTGTGGTTTCATCAAATGATTATTTGATGAAACCACAATTAACAATTTATTTGAATTGGCTTCAAACCAATCTGCATTTGTGTCCTTCCCTGCTCAGCCTTCTGAGTTAGGCAAAAGGTATGACATCACAGTCCCACTGTGGACAGAGCCAGCTTGTGGACACGTAGCCATGTGGGGCTACTGTACTGCAATATATTAAGAAAGGAACCGGGCTTATTGGCTCAAGCCTATAATCCCAGCACTTTGGGAGGCTGAGGTGGGAGCATCACATGAGGTCAGGAGATCGAGACCAGCCTGACCAACACAGTGAAACCCCATCTCTACTGAAAATACAAAAATTAGCCAGGCATGGTGACACATGCCTGTAATCCCAGCTATTTGGGAGGCTGAGGCAGGAGAAGCGCTTGAACCCAGGAGATGAAGGTTGCAGTGAACTGAGGCTGCACCATTGCATTCCAGCCTGGGCAACAAGACCAAAGCTGTCTCAAAAAAAAAAAAAAAAAAAAAAAAGAAGAGAAAGGAAACCTTTAAATCTTTTTAAAAGGAGTTTATATAATAAACACATTTTACAGATATTAGTAATTTATCTTATAAATTATTCAAGTAATGAATGCCTAAATGTTGGCTCCCAAGAAGGGCTGTGGTTGTTTTAAAGAGTGGGACTGCTTTGTGTGAATTGGTTATGATCTCATCTAGGCTTTCTAGGAAGTAGATTTTAAACCAGATCTGGAAAGTGGATTAATATTTGAAAACGGAAAAATGAGAAAGGCATTCCAGAAATGAAAAGTACAAAAATGTCACGCTATTAAGGAAAGCAGGTGCAGAGGCTTACCAGGTGCACAGATAAACACAGCAGGACTGGGTTTAGGGAGCAGAACTGGGCAGAATGTGAGGAAGGCTGATCACAGAGCATCAGACTTCAAGTTTGTCTGAGGCTTTGCATGCTTTGGCTCAGGTTGGTCACTAAATCACACTTGTTATTTGCTTTTTTTTTGGGACAGAGTCTCGCTCTGTTGCCCAGTTTGGAGTGCAGTAGTGCAATCTTGGCTCACTGCAAACTCTGCCTCCTGGGTTCAAGGGATTCTCCTGCCTCAGCCTGCCAAGTAGCTGGGATTACAGGCAAGCATCACCACACCTGGGTAATTTTTGAATCTTTAGTACAAAGCGGGAGATGGGGGGCTGGGGGCACTGTGGGGTGGTGGAGTGAGGGCGGTTCACCATGTTGGCCAGGCTCGTCCCAAACTCCTGACCTCAAGTGATCCACCCTCCTCAGGCTCCCAAAATGTTGGGATTACAGGTGTGAGCCACCATGCGCAGCCAAATCACGGTTTCTTTCTCATTTTCATTCAACACAGATTTTAATCAAGAGCCTTCTGAGTGTCAAGCACAGTCGAGGAACCAGGCGAACCATGTGAACACCTGTTCCCGACCGTATGGCTCTACAATTCCCACTGGTGAAAGCTCATCAGAAAGCAGGACTTAAACTTCTACAAAGAAGTGATTTCCAGATGCAAAAATCAATCAACTAGGAGGCTGTTGCAGGACTCATCTAGGACTGAGGATGGGGATGAAGGAACAGGAAAAGATGGGAGAGATGTCACAGAGCCAGAACTGAGAGACTTGGCAATTAATGGTATACAGGAAGCAAGTCATATGGGGGTCTCAGAAACAGTCACATGCCCTCTGAGGTTTGGAGCATAACAATCACTCCCATCTACTGCCAGAAAGGGAATTGCATTGAAGGACAGCTACCATTTAACAGTAAAGAAAACTGCACCAAACACAGATAAGAGCAGAGGGCTCAGAGGCTCCTGGCAGGGAAATGCGTGTTAAGATTTATAGACATATATGAAGAACTAGACCATGTATATACAACTTTATTATGTGTATATACATGCCTCCATGTATCTGTATATAAATACATATCATAATATTTACATAAATACACACACATGTATACACACTATACTCATGTATAAATATTACTGTGCTCCTATATGTATATGATTTTAACCTAGATTTGCAGTTAGTGAAAAAATATGAAGATTTTCCCACTAATATGTGTGCCAGGCCTGCCCAATCAAGCTATACATTAAGGTGGCTATTATTTTCTTCAAGCTCACATTTTTAATATGCTAAGATAAAACATCTATAACAAATTAAAAAAATGAGGCCTGCTTGGCAACCTACGTCAAGTCTCTGGCACAGCACAGCAAGTGTTTTCATAGAAGTAGGAGCAAGACGCACCTTCTCTAGGGAGGAGGCCCAAAGGGCACGTCCAATGATCCAGTTCTTATTCCAGCCACAGGCAAAAGGCCAAGACACTACTGCATGGTTTCCTTTTCAAAGTAAAATTATAATTTCCCACATTTTGACTTTGCTCATGCAATCAAAATACAATTTTTGAATCAAAGGAAACAATTTAATAACATGCATAAAATCAATGGTATTACAGGGCAGATGTATCAAAAGATAATGCTATCACAATCAATACTTTAAATTGCATAATTTTGTTTGTAGTCGAATTAATATAATGCAGCTATCACGCTGAGTAGGTACTCTCAATGTGATTAGAAATACACCATCATGAGTGATATATAAGTGCAGGGAGCTTGTAACTACAGGATCATTTGGTGAAAATTGAAAATAGTTAATGATATGATAGAGTTTCAGCAAAGAACATTAGAACAATCAGCAACAAATATTATCTGCTCAAACATTATATTTTAATCTGTCTACCCTAGCATTAGGTACAGTTAAAAAGTTAAATTTCACATTGAGGTATTATGCATCATTATAATAAGGTTCAGTCAGCGTCACAGTGACCAGCACTTTTTATATATGAATTGCAAGGTAACCAACTCAGGAGGATGCATTGAACTGAACACATGTAATACAGAACTAAAAGTCGGGAAGCCTACTCGTAAAATTGCATAATTTATGTGACAAATGAGATTTATATATTCTCAATATATCATATCACCATGAGTTCTCCTGAGCAAATGTTTTAAAATGTATAGCAATAGAAAAATCATTCTTTGTAACGATTTTCTCGTAGGTCACCCCGATTTAGTCTAGAAAAGCTCGATGAAATTGACCAAAGCTAGATTACAAAAGTATAAATTTGAGCATTGCCTGCCACAGTTTAATGTTCCTTCAATAAGTGCCATGGAAAGCTCCCCTTGAACAATATAACATCGTTTTCTTTTCTTAACATTCTGATTACAAGAGAGCTCAGTAAATCCAAACTTAAATTCAACCTCAGCAACAATTTTGATTTAGTTTAGCATACATTAAATACATACGTATTAAGAATAATATTATATAGGCATGAATCCAGAGACACACACACATGTGCACATATATTTCCCTGATAAATCATGTGTCAGGCCACTTGTCACACCCTTGAGGGAAAGTGCCAGTAAAAGGAAATAATATCTTTAGAGAAAGGGCAAAGGTATGAATAAATTAATAAACATTTAGATGAAAAAACAATCATCATGTAGCACAGAAAGTGCAAATGCAAACATAACTCATAGTCTGATTATAATAGCTACACATCGCTTGGTACTTTGTAAAACAAAAGTATTTTCATTTCATTAGAGACTCACCATGGAATTATGCATTATCATTTTTCCCACTTCACAGATAAGAAAAGTTAAACTGTTTACTAAAGAAAGTTCAGTTTAAGTGGTGAGAACAAGGTTTGGAAATGGGTTTCTGATTCCAAGACCTGTAATTTATATTAAAACTGTGACTTGATTTCTTCATTTGCAAAATGAAAAAAAATATTAGCTATGTTTCATGGCTGGTGAGGAATAAATGGCTTGGAAGACACAGAATACCTGGAAGAGCAGCTCAGCAACAACAGCACTTGCATGTCACTTGCTGCTATTCTATCGAAAAGCAACAGCAGCAGGCAGCTCATGCGTCCTTCTGCTCTACTGGTGTCCTTCCACTCTCAAGGAACACACATTCAATTTTTTTGACAGAAGAAATAATAATAACAATTATTACAATATTAACTAGTATTTGGCATTTTACAATTAACAAAAACAAAACCTCATCATTAAAAACTTGTTCATATGATTTACCAATTGTATTAGACAACATAGCTCATATTCACATAGGGAATATGTGTCCATTTACTTGACATGGAAATAGGCCTCTCAAATTTGTTTCATTTTATGTCATTCTGCAAGCTTCATAGAGCAAATAAAATTTCCCAACTGACTTATAGAAATATTATTGCCAAATTGACATCCAACATAATACATATATGCTATATAGGACCCTATATTAATTCTGATTTTATTTTCCCTTGTGTTAGAATCTCAAATTTTGATGACTGTCTCATAAGTAAAATGTGTGTATCTTGTTAAGCATTTTCAAATTTTCTCCTTTTAAGATTGGAATATCAAATACTCCATCAACAAATATCATCTGTTGTCACCCCTGTCTCAGTCTTTTGTAAATTCTGTCCCAGTGTTTCTACAGAGTTCTTACAGATAAAACCATTGAACGGAAAATGCTCATGTAGAGAGGGACCTGGCTGCTTTTCCATGAAACAGGAGTCAATGCTAAGGGTGGGGCTGTTTGGGTGTGGAGGTTCCATTCCTCCAACCAGAAGAGCAAACGAGTGTAGGGAACCCTTCTCTAAGGGAAGAACTATCTGCCCTGTGGACTTTGGGGGTGGGGAGAACCATTTATGTTATCATAAGTAATTTTTGAAATATCTACTTATCAATCAACTAATTGGTTTTATTGTAATTGGTAAACCTATGTAATTGTTCTATTCATCAACATGTAGGTCTCCAATTCCATGCTTCTCTTCCTGAACCACAGCAGTCTATCCACCTGCCTTGTACCTCTGGTCCAAGAAAGCCACCTAAGGCAAATCTGAGCTGGGACAGAGGCTAGAATTCTTGCACCACCTCTCTGTGAAGGGAGAGCTACTCAACAAGCTGCATTTAGGCAGCATCCTCTCTTGGCCTGGACAGAGAATGATATGCATTATTGAATTGTAGCGGTGACCCGACTTCACAAAAAATAAACACTACAGACTGCCAGGAACACAGGGCTGGGCACAGTTAGTGCGCCATAGAAGCCTGAGTATTCAGAAGCATTATAAAAAGGTAAGAATGACTCATATGCACTTCTATGATTTTTAAGCATTTTAATAGAGCTTGCTTGGCAATTAAAATATACACGAGAGCAAGATTAAATAGTAGCCATTTCTGCACTGGTTTTCCTGTCAATGTTAACAAAAAGCCTACCAAAGAGCCATAAGGAAATGGCCAACCTCCTCTCAGAAAGACAGAAGAATAATAAGGGAATGATCCAAGTGAAGAAAAAAAGTGAGCAAAGAAATGCGTGAAAACAAACGGGATAGCTTTCTGAAATCACTGAAGTAATTTTGAGTTGAAAAATTCAGAATGATTCAAGCCTGTGCTTTGCCATCATTCAAATGGCTGTATCATTTCCTTAACAAGGCTGCATAGCTCATGGACTAATAAGGATCTAACTTTGCATTCAGGCATAAAGACATTTATTCCTGTTTTTCCCACCTTATTAATATGAAACAAGACAATAAGATGAAGACAGTAACTGTAATACTTGTTGCAAGCTAAATACTAATGCAAGAATAATTGTTGTTACTACTTTTATATGGAGGTGATTTGAGATTTTTCTCTTAACTTGCAGATGTGTATATCTTCATGTTGCTTCCATCTTTCCTCAAGCTTTACTTTCGTAGTGCTCAAAAATGGTAAGAGACACAATCTGCACGTAGTCATTAGAATGTCTCAGATCGCACGGCTTAGATTGCTCCACACCAAGAAGAACAATGTGGAGGGGAAAGAGATCTTCCTTAAGTGTAAAAAGATACCAGATTGATACTTAAGATCTCGGTTGTATCAGGCAAGACGCCGAAACTTCTCTGAGTCACAGATCCTCTCTTCTCTGTAATCACGTCACTGTGACATTCAGGTCACGTCATGGAAGGAAAAACATTCTTACAATTATAAAGGATTATTACGCAGACTCCAGTTCAAATTGAGGCAAATATGAATAGGCTGGGAACATGTGCCAGTATAATCCAATCCATTTAAGAATCCGTTAGTCAGAGAAACTTTATCCAAATAGTTAAATAGCTCCAAAGAGGTGCGTTTATCCCCATAAAGCAAACCTAGATTTTTCTTCTTCAGTGTTTTGATAGAAAATTAAGGTAAAAATCTCATACTACGCAGTAAGACAGTACAGGGAACGCACTTTTCTCATATTTCATGCACATTCTTCATGAATTATGAAATATCTTACAGTACAACACAAAGAAAACTTAAAGCATCATTGAAATCCCCTAGTAATCAGGGCTCTTCCTACAGAGTCTCATGCAGCCCTTCATATTCAGAAAAATAGGGAAGTTTACTTCACCTAATGGGAATTTTGAAAGGAAATGATGACTCTGATTCCTTTGAAGAAAGAGCCCTATTCATTTTGGTTGAATTCCAAGCAAAATGGATGTTCTTGTGTTATAAGTGATGTTACCTTTCCTAACACTATATTGATGTTACAACTCTCTAGCAATTGGGTACGTGTAACTAAATAAAAGCCAACAAACTCAGATCAGAAAAGCTGAGCCTGTCCCCACTGCCTCCACACGCTTCTGCTCTAGCCCAGCTGTAAAATGTGTGTAATCACATTTGCTTGCCTGCTTCAGGTATTTTTAAATAATCTAATCGAATAAAGCTTCTCAGAGAATACTACGTAAAATAAAGTTCCTCTGTAATGCAATGACTTCTGATGTCATCACTACTATGGGAATTATTACATTCCCTCTTTCCCTTTTCTATTCTCTTCCTTTCTTTTCGGGTTCAGTAAAAAAATTACCAGAACATTCACATGCTTCCTATCTTCCCTTTTTGAAAGTTAAATGTTATAAGCCTCTGAATTTACTTCTGTGACTGTGCATTCCAGCAAAGTAAAATAAAATTGTGTGTGATTCGTGGGGGTTTGCAACTTACTTTCACCGTACCACTTGCTAACTAGAGGATCCGATTATGGGTCTTGCTGTCTTAGGACACCAGATACCACTGAAGCCTTGCCCACTGCAGGTTACTGAAATCTAGGTTTATGTTTAGAGAGGACAAAAATGTGTTCATTGCTTTATTTGACCTCAACTGGCCTAGTTTGATGATTTTTTTAAAAAGATAATCTATATGCCTTTAAGAGGATTCCAAAAAATGTAAACTGTCAGTTTACGTGGATTGTAACCCGATGGAGATGTTTCTCATTTACCTGGGCCACAGGATAACTAGGCAGTTATCCCACCTGTGACTTAAACTATGTGCAGGAAAAATTTTTACATTTTTATATTTTTAGCAATTTTTAGCAATTTTTACATTTTTAGCAATTCATAGAAAACAAAAAAAGATACTTGAGATACTTTGTTCACAGTATTTATTTAAAATATAATTAGCCATATACAATGTTGTCTCTCCTATATGTAAGCTTTCATAAGAATGATTCACTATTTTTATATATAATACTGTTTTTAACCTCTGGGTATGGCAATCAAATCTTTTTAGAAAATATTTCTTGGTTTGATGAAACCATATGTATTTTGTCCCTTCTGTAATTTTCTCCGTCAGATTGTCTTTTTCATAATATGTTATGTTAATGTGAGAAGTGCACTGTGTACTTTCTGTGACTAATATTTTGTTTTGATAATTTATTCGGACTTTGCCTCTGATGATCCCATCTAGCAACCATTTGGGAAATCCAGTAATTATTTGTATTTCACAATTTGCAGTTCTCATTCCATCACTGTGTCTGTGAAATGCATTTTTGCCACTCTGTCCACTAAATTTATTTTAAGTGATGTCTTGATACAGCATGAATATACTGGTGTCAAACTGAAGCTACTGGATGCTTTATGCAGCAATCGTCACAACTGCTGGTTCCTGTCAGATCTGTTTAAGCCTAGGTTCTTATTAGGTTTAATCCAAATGTCTAAA
The DNA here is from genome assembly GCF_000001405.40 of Homo sapiens. Classification (NCBI taxonomy): domain Eukaryota; kingdom Metazoa; phylum Chordata; class Mammalia; order Primates; family Hominidae; genus Homo; species Homo sapiens. Next base: position 4,823,224 of record NC_000008.11, read on the forward strand.
CTCTTTAATTGCCTAATTCTTATGCTTGTGTTTTCCAATGTTGAAACTCTTGGAATTAAAAACAATTAATTATTTTTTCCAGATTTTAGTTCTGTGATGACTTAGTTTTTAAAATGTATTACAATTACAATTACACTCTACAAGTATGACTTTGAAAAAAAATCAAAGTAGTTCATTAACTTTTCTTACTTTTCAGCTACATAACCTTAGTTTCCTCACTCACTGGTAAAATGGGGTACTTAGGGCAACCGAGGATTCCATAGAATAATGCATATAAACTCACTTGCAATGTACCTCATCTATACTGAAGGCTCACTTAGTCCAAGCCCTCGTAGTATATGAGCCCAGTACACACAGCAAAGATGGGCATTTGCCCACTCAAACATACATCGACCCCCTACTACACATAGCCTTTAGAAAGAATAGCAATAATCACAACACTGACATATAAACAAGTAATTCTCTATGGTGAGAATTAATATAATGCAATACAGATACTACAGAAGTGAAATGAGTTGAAAAACTTAGCCAGTGTGGTGGTGGTGGCAGTGTGTGCACAAGTGTCTCATGGAGTGGTGAGTAGGGGAGAAAAAGAAAGCTCACAGAGGTTGAAGATAAATGAGGCTTGAGAGAATAAAAGGAAGGCTTAATATTGAACTTTGAGAGAGAAATACTCTTAACAAGAGAAGAAAGAGGAAAGAGCATTCTAACCAGAGAATATAGCACAAATCTAAGTGCACACATACACACCCACGCATGGACACACACATATACAATCATGGACACACACATACATGCACACACAAACATCCATGCACCCACACATGCACACATACTTGCACATACACAAATAAATATCCACACACACACACACACACACACACACACTCTCCCTCTCACACGTACATGTAAGGAAATGGGGAAAAACAATTGATGCCTATATATATTTTTGGACAAAGTAGTTTAATTCATTCTCTACCTATAACATGTAATGTTATAGATTAGCCAAGAAAGAGGGCTAGAGATCTCAACAAGAAAATACATGAAATACACAAGTTTTTCTTGGGTACGTATCAATTGAAATAATACTTTGTGTTATTTGGTTGGGAGGTAGATAGTGGATGAAAGTCTGAATGATATGCAGAGTTTTAATTTAATGTGAAAAGTGATTAAGTCCCTGAGACCTCTAAGCTAACATGTGGTTCCGGGTAGAAAAATTGTATAATTAAAGAAGACTATTTTTCTTGTTTAAAGAAATAGAATGGTTTTTAAACAGAGTAGTCCCAATTAAAATATTTTGGGAATACAAGAAAGTTCTATTAATAATTACACCACGGAAACAGTCTCAAACAAGACAGTCTTTCAATTTCAAAGGAATTAGTTGATGAGGTCTGTGTATGTGTGTGCGAACACACCCAACAGAAGGAATCTCATAACGAAAGTGACAATTTTTGCGTACACATTTCTATCCACTGAAATAACTGCTGACATCATGGAATTACTTGGAATAACACTGCTGGAACTTGTCACTCAAAGACAAAAGCTAACAAGAGTAATAATTAGTATTTTAATGTACTCGGAGGAAATGACCAGGTATATAGCCTATATTTAAGAAACAATCTGTATCTCCAAGTGAAATGTCATTGTAATAGAACGTGGCCACAGGGTAATGGGCTGTTACTGCTACACAAATGCTAACGTAAAGCCAAGACATTTCTCGGGAATCAAAGTAGAAGCAATCAAAGAATCTCTTTGGAAAGTGAGCGAACCTGAATGCACTGCCATGTTTATGACACTTAGGTTTTTATCCTTTTTGAAGTCAAGCTTCTCTGCAGTTTATTCTCTCCCATTTTAAATACTGCATACATTTATAACTTGATGAACAACACAAATCAAGGTAATTTTAGATTTCAACATTTTCTACCTGAAGAAGTGGGATAAATGTGACTTATCTGACATTTTTGAAGAGATGTAATCAATATTCAAAATACTGCACGTTTAATATACATACTTGGAGGCATTTGAAATATGCATACACCCATGACACAATCACCCCACTCAAGGATATAAACAACTATTAGCTGTCAGTGTTTTATCCTGCACAGATATTTTCTTGTGTGCGGTAAGAACACTGACCTTGAGATTTATTCGCTTCACCAGTTATTCAGCATATAATGCAGTGATGGTGACTCTAGGCACAGTGTAGACCAGCAGTTTTCTAGAACTTACTCAGTTTGCATGATTGAAACTTTATACCTCTTGAAAGATCGCCCGATTTTTCCTTCCCCTGGCCCCTGGTAAACACAATTCTACTCTCTGCTTATATGTGTGTGGCTGTCTTAGATACTTCATACAAGTGGGATCAAAAAGCACAGAAAAGAAAAGAAAAAGAGACATGTGAGACTCCCTCAAACTAAAAAGCTTCTGCACAGCAAAGAAAACAATCAATCCAGTGAAAAGGCAACCTACAGAATGGGAGAAAAGATTTGCAAACCATTTATCTGGTAAGGGGTTAATATCTGAGATATAGAGATATACATGAAGCTTCTACAAATCAAATGCAAAAAAAAAAGAAAAAAAAAAGAAATCCCACAATCCAATTAAGAAATGGGCAAAAGACACTTCTCTGAAGAGATACAATTGTCCAATAAGCACATGAAAAGGTGCTGAACATCACTGCGAACCAAGAAAATGCAGATCAAAAAACAGGCAGCTATCACCTTACATCTTTGAGGATGACTAATTTTTTTTTAAAAAAAGAACAAGTGTTGGGGAGGATGTGGAGAAATTAGAACCCTTTTTCACTGTCCATTGAACATGAAACAGCACAGCCATTGTGGAAAACAATATGGAGTTTCCTCAAAAAATTAAAAATTGAATTACCACATGATTCAGAAATGTCAGTTCTCGGTATATATCCAACAGAATTCAAATCAGGATCTTGTAGAGACATGAGTACCCCAGTGTTCATTGTTGCCTTATTCACAATTGTCAAGACATGAAAGCAACCTAAATATCCATTGACAGATGAACATATAAAGAAAATGTGACATATACACACATACGTATATGTATGTGTGTATATATGTGTGTGTGTGTATATATACATATAATACATATATAATTACAGCTTTTTCCACTTTTTAAAAGACGCAATCCTGCATATGCAACAGCATGGATGAGCCTGGAGGGCATTGCGCTAACTGAAATAAGCTAGTCACAGAAGCAGGGATATTTTTAGTTTCTTTGATTTTGCTTTATGTTGTTTTTATTTATTTATACAAATTCATGGGGTACATGAAAATTTTGTTACGTGTCTATAATGCGTAGTGACCAAGTTAGCGTAGTTGGGATGTCCACCTTAAACAACTGATGGAAGAGCAAAAAGGAGATAACTTGGGAGAAATTGCTGCAGGCACTTGCACCTCACTCTCATGTGTAGCTTTCCTTCCCACTCATTCTAAGCTCCTTTCCCTGCGCTCTGCCTTTCGTGACCCTCATGCCCCATAACCCAATGGAGAGACAGTTCTGTTTTAAACATAGGAGCTCCCTCTGCTATATGGAAGTACAGGCTTAATGTACTTTTACCAAATCTTACGACTCTATAACATTTATGTTATTAGTGCCAGCTGACGGATAAGAAAAACTAGATTTAGAGTGATTATTTAACTTGCCTCAAAATCTGAGCACTTATCTAGTGCCAGCTTACTACTCACCCTTGAGTGTAAGTTTGTGCTCACTACACGTTGAATACGACGGTAAGAAATCAAATTGCTTGCCTATCTTCCATGGACCACATTTATGTTTGTATCCATGGATGGCTAACAGACTAAGAACAGGGAAAAAAATTAAGTCCATGTTCTGGCAATGCCCTTGTCCTCAGGTGTGAAGCAGAATCAATCAGCTAGAATAATTAAAACAAAGAAAACAGGTATACTAGCAAAGTTTTCGTTGCCATGCAATATAACTGAAAACCTCAGAATGTATCTGCTTTTATTATTTTTCACAGGTATTTTTGTAATCCAAATGAATTTAAGGACTAATATTTACTTCATTACTCATGTTTCAAGCAGAAAGACCAGAATGGTTTTCATTTTATCTTAACCCTAAGGCTAGAAGAGCACACTAAGACACACAAAGCCCAGCGGCTGCTCGAGTTACCTTCCTCGACTTCAAAGCTGTCTGGATGAAGAGAAAAGCTCGACAGAAACTCTCTTCTTTGCAGAAACCTCTTCAGCAAGTCAAAACAAAGTGCACTTAAGATGAACTGAATATTTTTCAAAATATTCTAAAATTTTCCACCAAGTTTCTTGGGAACACTTTTTCAAACAAGGCTTTGTTTATCAATGAAAATACAGCCTGCATTTTCTTTGAGGAGCTTGTGTCTCAGAAAGATTGAATAGGTAAGTCTTTAGGAATTCCCAGCTTCTCGAAATGCTTACTCTGATTTAGTGAAAAACATCCATTGAGTAGGTTTTAATTATCTGTAGATCTAAAAAGAATGTGTTTTACTCCACTGTTATTTTCCCCCAAAGGATTTCATTAAAGATTGAAATTCAGCTCCTGCTTAAACCCCTGGAAAATTTTTACTGTAATCTACAGGTACAGCCTGTTTAAATTCTTAGTTTACTTGCCCTTTACCATTTTAATCTTTCTCGTCCTCAAGCAACTGCTTGAAATACAATGAAAAATGTCAAATCCAATATTCATTCATGAGTTTCAAAAGTATGCTGACTAAAACTTAGAATTTTAACCATCACATAATAAACTTTATAATGCAAAATGCATGTTATATATTTAAGCCAGCTACAATCAAAAGAAGCGTAGTGGGATTTTTTTTTACATGAGTCCAATATTCTTCAGTCTTTTTTGACAAAGGTATACAAAGTTGATTTTCCATCACTACAACTTATCCCACGAGGAAATTCACTTCCATCCCACAAATACAGAGCTCATTTAAGTGTTTTCAAAGCAGCACTATTGTCACTTAATATTCTACATGCTAAGCCAATATTATATGAAAAGATATGTTCCATGCACTTAGTACTTTTGTTACCTTCAATGAAAATTATGTCAACAAATGTGCTGACTTTTCTTATAGCCACAAGAAAATAAGGTAGCATAAGCCCAATTGTTGACCTGAATATGGAAGACCACAATGACTTTGCTGTAGTTATTTGATGACATAACCACGCAAAGCAGGGGAGTTGACAGATAATCTTCTCTCAGCCAAATTCAGGGAGCTTCTGCTGTTTTCTGAGTGTCTTGGGGTAAGATCCGAAAGCACCTATTGGTCCTTTATTGCCTGAGCCATCCTGTGCCTTCCTGTGCTCTTTCACAAACTCCAGACTGTTGTGCCTACCACCTTTTCATCAAAACCTCTCATCTGGAATCCCTTTCTTTAAAACTGAGAACGTTACTCGGCATGGGGTTGGCAATATACATTGACCAGAGCCCAGGTGTGTAAAAGTCAACCTGGCATGACTTAAAATCCTAACGCTACTACTTTTATCATTTGGAGGTACATTACCTAGGCTCCTCATGCCTCAGTTTCTTTACCCTTAAAATCAGATGAGCCCAGAAGTACTGTTGTGAAGAACTGCAGATTGTAGCTCAATACTGCCCACAGAACCTTCATCAGAATAATCATGATATGCGTTCCACATCCTCGTCCCAGTACTTAATGTGTTCATAAAGGTTAATTAACCATCCCCAAACCATAGAGCTAGTAATTCCTGTAATAGTAACCTGACACATGATTATTTATCAAAACTGCACTAATTATTATTATTAGAGATACATTATGATATTGAAAAGTAATGATAACTTAATAGGTTACCTTTCTCCACTAACATTTTGCATTTAACAAAGAGGTGGCTAATGGTTAAAATATCTGTTTCAGTCCTTTTGGTTTATGATTGATCCTGCCTGTTGCAATTCCACAGCCAATGTAATTTCTCCTTTCAATCTTCTAATAAAGACTGCTCAAGTTGTTTAGATGAGAATTTTAAAACATTAACCATTTTAATATTTTTTCAGTTAGAGTTTGACAATATTTAGTCATAAGCTTTATCCCATCAAACCATTATATTAATCTATGTTTTCATTTAACCTACATTACGTGTCTATACTGGGCAACACTCTGCTAAAAGCTAAAAACGTAGAGATACAAAGATGACTTAGTCATACCTTTTACTGCTGAACATCTCAACTCAGCAGTAGAAATTAACATTTAAGGCCAGGTGCAGTGGCTAATACCTGTAATCTCAGCACTTTACCAGGCTGAGGCAGGAGGATCTCTTGAGCCCAGGAGTTCAAGAGCAGTCTGGGCAACATGGCAACCTCATCTTTATAGAAAATTTACACAATTAGCTGGGCACAGTGGTCATGCCTGTGGTCCCAAGTACTCAGGAGGCTGAGGAGGGGGGATCGCTTAAATCCAGGATGTGGGAGCTTCAGTGACATCTTTGCACCTCTGCACTCCAGCTTGGATGGCAGAGTGAGACCCTGTCTCAAAAAAAAAAAAAAAAAAAGAAACTCACATTTATGTAGCTGTTTCACACCCACCTAGTTAATGGTCTAAAGAACAGCAAGAAGCAGTCAGTGATCGCTTTACCTTGGGGACAAGGGGCTGGTCAGAGTGGTACAAAGTTTACTTTGAATGAGTCCTTATAGGTAATGCCACCGTTGCCCTGTTTAGAGGCCTTCTGATGTAGAAAGAAAACACACACAAAAATTTTGCTTACAAACATATCGGACAGCTTGTCTTTCCGTGCTCTCGTGATGAACTGCCTGTCCTTCTCTAAGGCACTAATCACAAGGACTTATACCTGTGCACGTCCTGCCTAGGCCAGGGATACCCAGGTACTGAAGAGCTACATTCTTGGAAACTCAGTTCTGCAAAGGCCCTGAATCACTCCTGAGAAATCTGACAGTACAAGAAGAGTCTTGTTTACAGCAATGGGATTGTGAAACAGACAAAGTGCTTCTAATTTTCAGCCTCACCTCAACCCTATGCCACAACACCCAAATGAATTCAAGCTTGGTAAAGAAAGGAACCATGAGGTTTCTATTTCCTTTCTTTTTCCTACATTTCTCACTGCCAGCATCTACCAAGATTTGACACATTAGAGATAATTGATGGCTGTGAAAAAATAACACTTATCTGTAAAATAATTGACAATAACTGAACTTGTATGTTTGGAGGAACACTTACCGTTTCAGATAATGACTTAGGATCTGTCTTTTTGCTAGATTGTCATCATAGAAGAATCAAGAAGCTACTGCCTGACAATGGATTACCAGGAGATTGCAGTTTGTGTGTCAAGAGGAGACATCATAAGCCATTACAAATTAGATAGATGACAAACACATAGATACATAGAACAAACTATGACTTGATCGTGGTAGTTTTTTATTGCTAAGAGGTCACAGAAAAATCCACTTAATGCATGCCAACTAATGCCAATGGCAACACTGTATTGCAACCCTGTGTCATTGTATCTTCGCTTAATTGGAACCATTGGACTTTAAGAAATATAAGCATAGGTCATTCCAGAGTCAAGTGCAGCCTACTGTGAGGTTAATGTGGAATGAGCAGGGAAAGAAAGAGAAATCAGCTAAGTGAAGAAATTCTGGGAAAAAAGAAAATCAAGATGATTCCTCTAGAATAGAGTCTAATGAACTTTCAGTGAACTTCCTTATGTTACCCAGAAATTATCTGCTGCCTGAAGAAAAAGGTAGCTAATCAACGAGGCATTTAGAGGCCCTTCATTTTAAGGGCTGCACAAAGCACTTGGTGAATAACAGGATGATCTACCCTTTACTTCAACTCCAACCATGCGAACTCAAAGTGGGAGGGATGTTTTTTCCATTTTACCTATGCCTTAGGAAAAAAGAAACTGTAAAACTTCGTTAAATCATCCGTTATTCAATGGACAAAGAATCTAGAATCTGAAAAATGCAACTATTGGCAGATGTCCTTTCATTTTCCACACCTGACAAAAAGAGGGAGAATTACAAGAGCATATTGTAGGTTTGACTGGGAAATTAGTGCTCCACTGGGAGTCTTTACTTTGGATCACATCTTCTTCCTAGTGCTTCAGCAATTACTGCAATACCTTATAATTAACATCCTTATTCTTATGAATAAAACAATGACAAAGGACAAAACTGCCGTCATTTATTGAATAACTACAAATATCCATATGCATTATGGAGTACATTCTATGTGCCAAGCATTTTACACTATCATCTTAGAGTTTTGTCAAGATGCTGCTCATTGCATGGTACATATTTTTTTTTAATATCAGAAGATAATGTGTCTCCAAGGGTTTAAGGAACTCTTACAAAATGTCATGCCAAGGTTTGTTGACTCCACAGCCACCTGGTGACACTCTTTCTTTCGCTTTGGAAAGGTCATGGAATGATGATACTCTGATTTTTGTTCATACTTCAATGAAATGGTCAATAAATATTTACTAGACATTCACAAACACATGCCTGTACCTGGCCTTGGGGTTCTAGTCCAATTCCTACAACTTTAGGGAGATGACTGCAGCAGGTCCCCTTCAGGGACCAGCATCTCCCACCCCCTCCCCTGACACTCAAAGACAAAGCACAGTGTGTGCCACATCCAGAAGGTGCAAGGATGAGGATGAAGAGGAAGCAGCTGACACAAGCAGACACACTCCCCTGAAAGCTGGGACCTTCGAGATTTAAAATTTTTGTCTGGGAGAAAAAGTGAGGGGAACTCCAAATTCCCACTGCACACATAGTCACTTTCAAAAGGAGCTTCCTCCAAGCAATGCCACATGTTACCTTACAATCAAACCAGAACCAACCAAAGCTTCTATCTACCCTTCTCTTCGGGAACCTTTTGTGTACTGTTCACTGAACTGGCATGTATCTCTGTTTTCCTGGTATTTTAATTACACTCACGTACATCAGCAAACATGCATGGAACGCCCTGAGTGTGGGAGGGTTTGGGAGGTGAGAGGCTGGGATTTGGATGAGGACATTAGCCAGTAATGGAAGTTTGTGATTCTAGTTCTTCCTGAGATGTTCAGTCCTTAGCGCACATGAGGAGATGGACAGATTCTTACGGAGATGCAATGCCTGAGTGGTATGCTACAGTGGCAATGAACTTGACACATGACTGAAAGATACAGTGGACATTGACATCTACTAAGAGCATCAGGAAGACTTTGGAGAAGAGGCGCTGTGGCCAGGGAAAAAATTACAAATTGTTCATGTAAATAAGTAAGGGGACTTCTCTAGGCAGAAGGAACTGTGTGAGCTAAAACATGGAGGCATGAGGTATGCAAGGTTTTACAGAAATGATTGGTTGTCTGCTTGTGGTTAAAATTATTACTAGCTGACACTTAGGGATTATAGTAAGTGTCAAATCTATCTGCTAAATGCTTTAAATATATATTCTCATATTTCTCACAAAGAAAACTCTCAGGTAAATGTAACAAAGATTTCCATTTAATTGTTAAGAAATTAAAGTGGAGAGAGATTACTGATTGGATCAACTCTTAGAACCATTAAAAAGTGGACCCAGAGAGCCGAGACATTCATCCTCAGGGTCAGTCATCTCATACCCTGTGATAAAAGCAGGTGCATGTGTGTGAGGGCGTATGAGAACTGCTAGATAACAGAAAGCTCCGAACTAGCTCAAGCACTCTAAGTTTAGTACCCTTGATTCTAAAAGCTCTTGTCTGATTTCATCAAGGAAATTCCTGGCCTGCCCTGGGCACCATTTCTGATTTAAAATAAATGGACCGACCTTCATCACTTCAATAGCTTACATTAGAACATCTTATGCGGAAAGTATATACCACTTGCCAATTCTAACTTGGATTTAAATCTGTATTTGAGTTTTCATTTATTCGTCATTCTGAGAGTAAAATTGATATCCACTGTATTAGTCCATTCTCACACTGCTATAAAAAAAACTATGTGAGACTGGGTAATTTATAAAGAAAAGTGGATTAACTGACTCACAATTCCACAGGCTGTTCAGGAGCATGGCTGGGAGGCTTCAGGAAACTTACAACCATGGCAGAAGGGCGAATGGGAAGCAAGCATGTCTTCATGTGGCAGCAGAAGACAATGGTGAAGGAGGAAGTGCTACACACTTTCAGACAACCAGCTCTCAAGAGAACTCACTGTCATGAGAACAGCAAGAGGAAAATCTGCCCCCATGATCCAATCACCTCTCACTAGGACCCTACCTCAGCATTGGGGATTACAATTCAACATGAAATTTGGGTGGGGACACAGAGCCAAACCCTATCACCCACTAACAGTTGCTGTTAAGTAGATAAGTCATTATAATAAACTGTGATATTCCAAATGGAGCACACGATTTTTGAAAGCAAGGACTTTCTCCGCTGATACTGTATCTCTGCAACAGAGTAGACAACACTACGTAGAGTGTTGCCTGCACAGCAAGAGCTGGATCAATATCTAGTGGAAGGAGGGTGACTCTTCAAACCTATTTAAAGAAACTCCTGATTTACATTGACTTCTATTCGTTATCTTAGGATATGATCCCATGGAAGGATAGATCAGCTGACTAAAAGGGAGACTTCCAATCAATTGCAAGTTGGCTACGTTGGCTAGCTCTGTACTCTAGTGAAGGTTGTAAATAACAAACCGTACATGTCACTTGGATTGGTGTTCACCACCCACCTCCTTGATTCCACAGCGGCCCCTGACTAGTCTTCACTATCTTAGCACCTTGAAGAGTCTCTCACAGGACCCCATTTTTATAAAAATAGACCCGGGATGCAATATCGTACGTGGCCAGTAGGTGCCACCATTAGCAATGTAATTTTACTATTGGACTCCTAGAGATATTCAAATGAATTCCTTTTGTTTCTTGTTACATAATTGAAAGTTTTTAAACACCTAATTCATACAGATAAAACAAGGATGTGTTATGTCAGGTTTAAATCTGTAATTTTAGAAGACAATACATATTTGAACGTGGTAAGGAGAGGGAAGAAAAATATGTTTAGAAGGTAGGACATCAAGTATCTACCGAAAATCATTTATGTGCTACACGTTACATACTGGGAACAGAAAAACAGGTAAGATTTACTTGATGGCAAGAACGCATCATCTGTAGGAAGATATACGTTAGGAGAGATATAAGCAATATAGCTCTAAGTCCTAACAATATTATGAAAAAAAAGCAAAGAGGATTGAGTGGGCACATGCCCATGTATTCACGCAACTTTTAGGCAGGCAGTGAAGTTCGAGCTGAGTTGTAAGGGATCAACACATGAAGATAAGGGTGAGCTTTCTGAAAACAACCAATAGAAGGGAAGAACGAAGTAATACGAGTTCAAAAAGAATGAGAACAACGTGGTCCAGGATAAAGAATGGCAGAGGAAGTAGCTAGCTAGTGAAAAAGAAGAATGAATTAAAAGGAAAAAAAAAGGCCAGGTGCGGTGGCTCACTCCTGTAATCCCAGCACTTTGGGAGGCCGAGGCGGGCGGATCACGACATCAGGAGATCGAGACCATCCTGGCTAACACGGTGAAACCCCGTCTCTACTAAAAACACAAAAAAATTAGCCGGGCGTGGTGGTGGGCGCCTGTAATCCCAGCTACTTGGGAGGCTGAGGCAGGAGAAAGGCGGAAACCCGGGAGGCGGAGCTTGCAGTGATCTGAGATGGCGCCACTGCACTCCAGCCTGGGCGACAGGGCCAGACTCCATCTCAAAAAAAAAAAAAAAAAAAAAAAAGAAAGAAAGAAAGAAAGAAAGAAAGAAAGAAAAAAAAATCACAGTATTGGGGGAACAAATGATGACATTTCTCACATAACAAACAAAAGCGTTTCTTCACTGCCCTATAGATATTAGAAACCTGGGAATCATTTATTATTAAGGCGGCAACTCTAGACCCAGTGAGCAAGATGGACCCGAGAAGGTTGGAAATGAAGCGAAGGACAATCAAGAGGTATTTATTTATTAGCGTCAGAGAGGAGATAAATGATTGAATTGCAACAGTGGCAGTGGGGATACTAAGGAGAGGTTACAATACAAACATCGTCGGAGATTACGTTTGAAAAGAGTGGAGACAGGTTGACCATGAGGGTCAATGCAAAGAGGTAATATTCCAGAAAGATTCTGAGGTTAGTAATTTGGGAAGCTGAGCATATGATTTCACCATTAGCAAACATTAAGAGACAAGAGGTAGAACTAGTTATTTTGGAACTAAAGGGAGAGACAGTGGATTCTTATGTTGAATTTGAGATGCCTGTGAAACAATGAGGTACGCAAATCCAGTGGACAGTCAGCAACCTGAGGGTGGTTAAGTTAGCACACAGAGATTTTGGAATTATCCTAACACAAATTTTATCTACATTTTGCATATGCATAACCTGAATTGCTCAGGTGATGAAATGAAAGACATCGGTGAGTTTGCATGTAACATTTTTCTTTTATTTGCCACAATGATTGTGGTCAGTATATTTTAGTTCAACATTTACCCAATCTCTCTCAGGTGGTAGACACCATGCTAGGTACTGCAGCTGCAAAAGTGAGTAATTCTCAACAGTGTTATATCTCATCAAGTATCCAGACATGGAATTACTTGTACATCAAGCCAACTACTATGGTCACTAAGTGTTGGTTGATTTAAATGCTGCCTCTTTTTCTCTTTTTGGAAATGTAAGTACAGATTATAAGTACAAAGGAGGGAAATTTAATTTATATTTTGAGAATTAATTAGGTACCTTCTAAATGTAAAATATCCTACCAGATTCTAACTAGGATGTGAAAAATAAATAGAGATGGTTTCTGCCTTCAAACGAGTTCACAGTTTAGAATATTGGACATACACAAGTAATGCAAGAAAAGATCAACTGTCAGAGCTTCAGCTTTCCAATTTGAAATATAGGTTTTATAAGGCTACTTTAAAACTGGGGTTATTTAAATCGTTAATTGTGAATTGATTCAGGCATTCATCTACCTTGAGGTATTAGATAGGTTAATTAACTACCATGACTCATTTTTCAAATTATAACGTGAAGACTAATTTTCACTACCTTCTTCCCCTAAGATGTTAATTAACACACTTTAGCAGTGCACCATTTCCATGTCTTATGAAGACTTCTATGTGGAGCCATGCCACATCTTGCTGACTGACACTGACGCCTCAGCTGGGATTGTTATCACCAGCCAGGGGGAAGAGATTTGTCCAAATTCTCCTTAAGTGCTGTTCCATAGGACTGGCGCTCTTGAATACGGCAGACAGCTAACATGAATCATGCATATGCTAATTGTAATAAATAATGAAAATATTTAGACACAGAGAGGTTTGAACTTGAACTTTATGAATAAGTTTTGATTAGTATGCAGTACAAGCTGTATACTCTGCTTTTGTTCTTACTCTTAAAAGGCAGTCAGTACTTAATGATGCTTTGAAATTTTAGTTTTTTATTCATCTCGTCGCTTCCACCTTTCTATCATGGAGCAAAGAAGTCACAAGGTCTAAACCCCCAGATATCAAAGTACATGTCTCCACAGGAGTCTTGACTCCTGTGTGGACACACTGATGTAATCGGGCCCTGTGTTAGTTTCAGCCAAGAAAAAAAAAAGTAGACGCTGTCTCCAAAGAAATGAGCCCAAAGCTTAGAGCCACCTCTCACTCTGTCTGAGGCTATGGTTGCTGCTGTGTAGAGTTCTAATGGGAAACCTCCATGGCTGTTGAAAGGAAACTCTGTAGAACAGATGGCCTTTTTTTGTTGTTAAGAGACCACCCAGAAGACAGGGCTCTGGCCTTGATGTTGTTGTTGTTGTTAAGAGACCACCCATAAGACAGGGCTCTGGGACAGAAAGAAGTGGTAATTAATGAGGGCTTCACTAAGTAATCTGATTTCTAATAGATCCAAATAATGTTATGTCTAAATTGAAAAGACACTAACACATGCGGGTGAGGATGGGGAGAAAAGGAAACCATTACATACTATTGGGAAGAATGTAAAGCTATCATATCATCTAGTTGGGCATATACCCCCCAAAAAAGGAAATCTACACATCAAGAGATAATCTGCACTTCTAGGTTTGCTGCTGCACTGTTTACAATAGCAGAGATTTGGAAGCAACCTAAGTGTCCATCAACAGATGATAAAGAAAATGTGGTACATAGACACCATGGAGTACTATTCAACCATAAAAAGAATGAGATTCTATCATTTGCAACAACATGGATGCAACTGGAGATCATTGTGTTAACTAAAATAAGCCAGGCACAGAAAGGCAAACACAAAAGTATAGCTTTTTGCAGCTTTGGTTCTTATCTGTGGAATCTAAAAATCAAAACAATTAAGCTCATGAACATAGAGAATACAAGGATGGTTACCAGAGGCTGGGAAGGACAGTAGGGAGTTGCTGGGGAGGTAGGGATAGTTAACAGGTACAAAAAAAAGTTAGAATAAATAAAATCTACTATTTGATATCACAATACGGTGACTATAGTCAGTAATAACCGTACATTTAAAAATAACAAAGAGTATAACTACATTGTTTGTAACTCAAAGGATAAATGCCGGCTGGGATGGATATATCGTTCCCCATGATGCACTTATTTGATATAGCATGCCTATATCAAAACATTTCATGTACCCCATAAATATATACACCTAACGTGAACCCCAAAATTAAAAAAAAATAAAAATAAACTAAAAGACAGATATAGACACAATCTAGCAATGCTCACTGAGGCATTGCCTGTGAAGCCAGCAGGGGGCAGCAGCTCCATTCTCTCTGTTCTATGGGCCCAGGAGCTAACTGCAGGCAAGGCAGTGTGAATGGGTGACCAGGAAGGGACATAGTGGATTTGCCGGTAATAAAAATTAGTGAGAATAAAGAAAAACAGTAAAACTTTTTTTTAAAGCAAGGGGGAAATATAGCTTTCTGCTACTTGTGGAAGTTAGCTTGTGTGCAGTGTTCTCCCCGCTCTTCAATCCTTTGAGATCTCCTTAGGGTTTCGTTCTGGGTTTTATTCACTTATTGACTGAGCAAGTAGTGTCAAAGTGTCAGGAGACGTCAGTCACTGTGCTAACGTAAGCGTTCATGGAAATAAAATTAACAGGGTAGCTTTGCCTCAAAGACTATGCAATCAATTATTGAAGATAGAAAAATAAATAGAAGATTGCAACCTGATATTTGTTCTATGGTAATTAAGCATAGCTCAAACCAGAGGGAAGGGAAACAAGAAACTGCCCTGATGAAGATGCTTCAAACAAATGTGATTCTGTCTCATAACTTTCCCTTGATGGGGCAAAGCATTTACTCCGCTTTTACCTGCTTACACCTGGGTGGGGGTGCATGTTGAGGATATATTCATAAACAATCAGTTTGTGCTTTGGCAGATGGAAACATGCTATTGCAAAACAATAGCTCTATTGCAGACGCGGAGGTGGGATGAGAAGCATTTATAAGAGACCTTTATTTGCAGAGGACACTTGCCCAAGCCTCCCTTGTTTCATGCCATCGGCTCAAATGAAGACTAACAAGGAAGCAGACCTCCCACCCAGAGTTTGGTCGGAACCGACAGACACTGGCTCCCAAACCAAGTGCTTCCATGTGAATGTGACACTTCTTGTTTCTCTTGCTCTATCTCCAGTAGCAATCTTTTGTTCTACTGCCCAGAACTTAAGCTCTAAAGGTTACATAAACTTATTTTATGAAAGACAAATTTGACAAATTCAGCAATTCATAATTTTTTTAAACAATTACTTCTACCTATTTTGCCTCCTTAACATTCAGACTTGTGGTTTTGCCAGTATAACTTTTTGGAATTGGTTTTTTGCCTGTCTGCTTTGTATTTCTGACCTGGTATTTTACTCCTCTGAGTCAGTTTCCCACCTCAAACTCCACGACTTCTTCAAAAGCTGTGTGTCGTAACTAAAACCATCCTTCTTTCCCTTCATCAGGTTCCAAGAAGGAAGCTCTGTCATGAGTCACTCTGAATATGCAAACTTCCTTTTAATAAAACCACCTAACTTCAGTCTCCCAATTATCTAGTCATTCATTCATTCATCTATTTGTTTATAGCAGACAGAAGGGACAAGAAATAAGATAGCATATGCAATGAATGCATACAACCAAGCAAATATATTTCATAATTATGTCAAAGTATCACATCACAGTTAGCTCAACACTTTACACATTCTACTTTGTATTTCTAGTTCTGAAAAAAAGTTGCTAGACATTTAGAATGACATTTGCACTGAAAAATCCTAACTCAGCTAACAACTGTGATTTTTTCTGGGGCTCTGGGAGCAATTTCTTTTTCCACAAGAATGGACCACTAAAATGAACAACGATCGGCCCAAGAGATGAAATAACATAGTTATTTTCTGTTTAATACTTCACTTAAGAAGAACTTGTTCCTCACACATGGTTGGGCATGAAACTAAGACATCAGATTTCAGAATTCTCACTTCTCATGAACTCAAAGATAAGTACAATTTTGGTAATAACTATACAAAGTTTAATAGCCTCGAATTTTAAAAACCTTCCACAGAAAAGCATAAACAACAGATTTAGACCTTTTGAATTAAATATCGTTAAAAATCATCTTAGTAAAGTTGATGTTTGCATGCTAGAATGTATATCTTTCAATTCTTAGTACTAGCTATTCTGAGGAACAACTAACCTCCTGCGCGTCTCCTCAATACAACTCTACAACACAGACCCGGAGACCAAAAGTCTTCAGTGTTTGCAAGTGTAAAATAGGAATGTGGAACTTACAGGTGCTTTTTGTCCTGCATGCACAAAAGCCTGGTTTGGGGTTCACAGCTATGGCTTTCCTCGGTGGACCGCATCCATAGGCTTGGGAAGAGCCTACCTGTCCACTCACTTAGACTCCACGGAGGCACTTGCCAGCTGTGGACTCTTTAAGGCTGTTATGCACATCACCTGCACCTGCGTCGTGGCCCCTCCACTCATCCCTGATCATGGTCTATGAGTCTTTCCTCTGCCACCATCACATCGCCAGCTGATAGCCCTTTCAGGTAAAGTATTCCTGCTTTAAGATGTTTTGCTACTGTTACTCTTCCACCTTCTATTCAGCACAGCTGTTAACTGTTATCTGTAATGCAATGATGATAACTGTATGAAACTAGCCGATTACTTGCTACTAATGTTGAACATATGTCGAAAACATTTTAACCACTTATATGTTGAAGACTATAGTCAGTTCTGAAAACATACGATATAACACGTTAGGTCTTTTGTTTTATTCGATGAAGTAAATTAAGTTATGGTGGTGAGACTTGCTGAAGGAGCAGCTTTCAAAATAAACTTCCCAGAGAAAGAAAATATGAAGAAATAAAACAAATGTAAGAAAATATAGCTTAACACAGCAGAATTACATTACCGAATGAGCATTGCTATACTTTCTGAGTGACGTGTCCCAAAAAAGGTGCCTGTTATTACTCAGTGCCTGCAAGAGACAACTTTTTTATCTTCTGAAGACCACTGGCTTTTCAGTTTCTCTTTGCCCACTAATAGACAAAACTATTAAAATGTCCATGTCGTTATGCACAGGGCTTTTATACCAGGTAGGATTAAGTATAGAATCATGAGTAATCATTACCACTATTAATAAAAATACATTCTTGTTATTAAGTGCCTAATATTTGCGTGTCTCAATCAACACCACTACTGTAAAGTGAATACAAATATCCCTAATCTATACTTTTAAAAAACAAGTGCACTGGGCTAGTCCGATAAGGAGCATGTCCTCTTAACTGAGCGTTTGCCGTCAGCCCCCTGGCTCCACCCTGTCAGCACCAACGTTCTTCCTGTATTCTTTCCTGCCTTGAGAAGAGCACCTGCTCTAAAGGATCTTTGTCGACTGCAGAAACAATTGGTATTACAATCTTTATTACTGAATGCATATATAAATAATGGTCAGAGCTTCTCCTCTCCTTGCAAAAGCAAATATTATACATTATGTTGATATATCTAGATAAAAGGGAAACAAGTGCAATGGCATGTTTCACTTCACCAATGCAGCCTTTGGTTATTGATTAGCCTTAAGATTTTTAAACATATTGAAAACAATCATAGACTTATGCTGGTTTTGGAACTACTTTATTCTACAGTTTGGAACCACTGAGCTTCTTGAAGGCAGGGACCACACCTTTTCTGCCCTTTTTATTCTAAAAATATAACAAATCCCTACCACATGTTATGTGTTCAGTGTTAAACGAATAAACTAGCAAAGGAAATACCACTGGACAAGTCACTAAGTTTTCTTAAGTAAAATAAAAAGTAATGTGTCATACATAAAACAAAGGTCAAATACAAACCATGAAACCATTACGCTGAAATATAAATAGGAGATTTAAGAAAATAATCATATAGAAGTTCAGAACAGGTCAGGCGCGGTGGCTCACGCCTGTAATCCCAGCCGTTTGGGAGGCTGAGGCAGGCGGATCATCTGAGGTCAGGAGTTGGAGACAAGCCTGACCAACATGGTGAAACCCTGTCTCTACTAAAAATACAAAAATTAGCTGGGCGTGGTGGCACATGCCTGTAATCCTAGCTACTCGGGAGGCTGAGGCAGGAGAATCGCTTGAACCTGGGAGGTGGAGGTTACAGTGAGCCGAGATCGCACCGTTGCACTCTAGCCGGGGCAACAAGAGCAAAACTCCGTCTCAAAAAAAAAAAAAAAAAAAAAAAAAAAGTTCAGAACAATGGATATAACTGTCCTGAATGCATTTTTGTCCTGCCTCTAATTGATAGGGAAACCCTAGAAAAAAGCAATTTTTCAAGGGAGCTGAGAGAGATGCTTTTCAATCAACATGTAAATTTCCTGGACGTCACCTATGTGTACCATTCTGTATGAGAGATGTAAAAAGGTGCAAGGCACCAGCCAAACCGCCTTAGAACTTGCAGTATTATTGAAAACATAAGCCAGACACACATGAAAAGAATTGTAGCTGTAAACAGGTGAATTGAGTGTGGGAATTAAGGGAACCAGGGAAGTCAAAGCTTATTTTCATATAAATATGAATCTTCCAGATGCATTGAATTTTGGCCTTCCATTGGAAAAATTATTTACCAGAATTCTACAATGGACTTTTAATATCTGACTTTGGCTTAAATTAAAACTTCTTCTTAATTTTTATTCCCCTTTTGCAATCTTTAAAACTTCAAATGCAAGCCCAATTATAGTTATTATGCTCTAAACTGCATTTTGGTAATCTTTCATGAGTTGTCAGATGCAATGGATAGTTTCAGGAAATGACTTACTAAAAAATGTAGCAAGTGTTCACTTACAGCGAGCACTAAGGGTCACAACGTAGGAGCCATATTGAGCATAGGGCACATGTATCCCTGCTGCAGGGAACCCGGGTGCCTATGTGCAAAACCACACTCAGTAGTGTTCTTCTCTGTTGGACAGTAGCCTCTAGAACTCAGGAATTTTAATAAAAACAATTATTATGAGCTAGATGCTACTAGAACAAAAGAGTTTTTGAATGTTATTTATTATGCTAGCATTGAAAAGCAGAAATTAATAGTCACATTACACATTAATGGTAACAATTTCAAAACAGTGAGTCACTTTCTCAAAGTAGCGTAGCTGTTAAATCTTTTTTCAACGCTTAAAGGCTTATCAATAGAACAATGGAAACGTAGAATTGGAATAAATCTTAAAGGTTATATAATCCTGGATGACCAGTGTATGTGAAAATCAGCAGATTCTCATTTCCTTTGTGTTCAGAGCTTGTTGAATAGTCATCTAACATGCTACTCCAGGACTCTAACATCAACTGAGTGAAGTCAAAATAAGAGATGCTAATTTACTCTCTTAAAGCTAAATATAACCAGACTCATTTGTTAGGATGTGCGAATTGAGAGTCGAGGAAATGAACAAACATGCCCAAGGGTACACTACCAGTCTTCTTCCTGGGCAGGAACATTCCAAACCACTACATTGATTATAGATGGAACAGGGCGCTTTCCTGCATCTTGTGATTCTAGGGGAATACGATGTCTCCCTAACCAAAAACATCCCATCTATGGCCCAGTACTTGTACCAGTATTTCTACCACCAGAGATTCACTCCTGAGGCTCAAAACTTAGTATCTTATTAAAATATATACCTTAGGGATGATTACGACCTTAAGAACCCTTCATTGTTTTCATGACTTTCCTTACAGTACATTTGGAGAGATTACAACAACAACAACAACAACAAAACCGAGAGAGAAATTGTGTGTATAAAGGAAAGTAGCAAAGACTAATCGATCTAACTCCCCTATTTCTGCACCTCCAAGTCTTCACCATCATAAAGGCCCAATCTAAAGGTACTGTCCAATTCCAGGAGACATTTCCATTGTCCAAGCCAGGAGTTCTGTTTTCTATGGACCTAGGGAACTCTGCCTGAATCTTATTAAATGAATTTCACTGTAATTATTTTGGTATGTGTTTTATCTACTCTTCCAGAATATATTATTCTGTTTTACACAATGCCTATCACAGTGCAGTGAGGTTGTACATAAGAGGTCTCTGGAACGTATCCGTTGAATGAACAAACTGATACAACGTAAAATAGAATCAGTGGAAGCACAGGAGAGCTGAACCCTGAATTTGGAGTCAACCGCAATTTAACAAAGCCTTACCTAACACACCCAGTGAGCTCTTTTCTGGGTGCACAGGAGTTAGTTCAGAAGCTAAGATAGAGAAAGCTGTAACGGAAAGTGTGTTTCTCATGAATCAGCAGGAAAAATGAGATTGTGAGACATTTGAGAAGGATGCTCTCAGCCTGTAGACTACGGTCACTGCATGCATGTTAAATGCCTCAGCTTTCTATCTTTAGGGGAAAAATAATGCATGAAGTGTTTGTCTAAGAGCTGACACTGGTTTTGATTTACAAATCATATTTTTTCAACCAAATATGAGTCAAGTTCTACTACACGTAGCACTGGAAAAAAAAGTGTTAGTTGTAGGCACCTGGTAATTTCAAGTAGTAAGGTTACATTTTCCAGCTAAAACTAGCATTTGGGGACTCGGTGTTTTTGTTTACCTAAATGTCCTCCAGCATCAGTAGATAGTGCCGTTATTGATACATTTTGTTTTTTTTGCAGAAAAGATCACTGGGAAAAACTCATGCCCTTCCCATAGGAAATTAACAGATCTGAATATGGATGCTACAGCTTTCACCCACTCCTTTTATTTTCGATTTTTCTTTACTCAGCATAATGCCATCTTTTTGCTCATAACAGCCTCAATCAGCACTCTTGGCCGCGTCAAGGTCAGGACTGCCTGCTGCGACTGGCTCGAGATTCAATAACCAGCCATGAGGGGTGCACAACATTAAATGGACACAGATTGCTTTTTCTGTAACTCCATTTAATAAGCGTCTTTTCTAAACAATCCATGCAAAAAATATAATTTTTTAGGATCAAAAAGAAATAGAATTTACTCATTATTATCTTAGACTCTAAACAACTAATTGTAGTGATAATTATGATTATTTCAAAACCATCTCAGTGATAAGCTTAATTAATTCTCCAGGCAAATTCACTAACTGACAAAAGTTTTCTCATTCACGGGACAATCCAAACCAGCCTTAAAAATTTAAAAAGCTAAGAGATATGCCAGTACTACATCTGCTTAACAGTACCCCCACAGTATACAAGAGTATGGTTTTACTTAACTTCGTGTTTCCCAAATAGACACCAGTCAATTTGGCAGCTCATGAAGCTTAATAATCAGACCTATAGCATTTTAAAAATCATTTTCACATAATACTTAGCATTTTACATGCATATTTACAAATTAAGTTCTACTAAATAATGTAAAAACTATCTATCTAATTTTCTTTATTACATATCTGTGTTTTTATTCTCCCCTAAGCAGTTTTATTAGTATATAAAAATTATCACTAACAATAATCACCTCTTATGAGAAGTAGAGTATAACACATTATTACACAAATATTTTTAACTACATATTTTGGTTATTGTACTGTTCAGTATTATATTTGATAAAGACACAAGAAAGCCATCAACATTTTTCGATTTAGAAAACGAACACTGTTAATGTGCTGGTTGTTTTCTTGATGTAGACACTAGCTAGCCAGGGGATACATATCCACACCAACACACACCATACATGGGATGATCCTGTTTACAAGTGATATCCATTGCTCTCATTGAGAACTTGAATCAACCAATAATCAACCAAAAATCTTCAAGTGCAATCAGCAAAACATCTGAACGACAATTCACCAATTTTGAAGTCACGTTCTCCTCAACTACGTATTTTGGCCACTGTTGAACTTTGGCCTACGTGGTTTCTTAGAATTTCTATAGTCAACCAATATTTATTGGGTTCCTACCATGTGCCAGGCTCTCTTTTAGGAGCTTTGCATTCAGTGTTGAAGAAGCACAGACGGGAAAGAAAGATGTGTAATATTTTGACAAGGTCTAGGAGACAATGGTGTGCTGTTTGCCGAAAGCACAGAGAGGGAGCACTGGCCGGTGCTCAGGGAGCTGCTCAAGAATCACGTGAGTAGTATCACAAGGGCGGATTTTACTAAAGACAATTGATATTCACATCAGAAATTTACATACGATTTGTAGCTGAATTTTTCCCACTACCTAATGAGGATTTTGTCAGTCACCGTGGCTAACTAAAATGACAAGGTTACGCTAGCCTATGAACTTTGCCTATTTTGCATACACTTACAAAAGAATAGAGAATCGGCTATAAATTTGCTGAGTCAGAACATTATACTGGCCATCCACTTTCTCACTTCTTTGTTTTTCCAGAATGAGCACTTTTGCCAATCCCGGTTTGTTGTGCTACGTCCCAAATCAAACAGTTGCAGGAGTTAGAACTTCCACGTGGCCATTGAGTACCTCATCTCTTTCTCCTGTCCTGCATACTATTGTGTATGAAAACTAGCACATGCACCAAAGTACCAACACATGTCCAGGATCTTTTTTTTCTTTTTGACCTGTACAAAAAATATAGCTCTTACTTTCAAATTTGGAAATGTGTGAAGTAAGATCTTTAACTTGTTATTTCCATGTATACCTTACTATCTAACAGCCTGTAAGGAGATGTGTGCATATGGGTTTATAGATGGGTTTCCTTGCTTGGAGGGCTGACATGGTGGTTTTCCTAAAGCCATCACTAACTCAGCCAGTGCCCCAGCCAGGCTTGTCCTTGAGGTTTTGGCAGCACGGCTCTCTGTCTTGGTTGACTGAGCCTGTGACCAGCCTCCTGACAGCAACTCCCACAACCGACATTGCTGTTTTGGTCCAGCCACAGGCTCCTGTAAGATTCTGCTTTAAACTCATGGTACTTTTCTACCCCCTGTAGGAGGCTCAGCCTTGGTGACTACTCCAGCAATTCCTAGAAATTGTAATAGCTAAGGATGACAACATGGACTTGTAGACTAACACTTTAAATTTCTCCTTTCTTGAACTTGGTCCCATTTTAGATTAAAATCTTGTTCTGATTCTTAATCTTGCTTCCCAGGTCAAGGGTATCTTATCTTTTAACTAAGTTAGAAAGTAAATTAGACAGCAAATGTGTTTGCAAAACTATATCTGGCATATATATGCGTATATTTATATATCAACTATATCTGTAAATATTCTTGAAATAGAATAATAGTGAAACTTACTGGAAACTAAAAACCATGTGCTTCTAAAACAGGCTATTCATTGGGAGAAAAAGATTATGTAGTGATTTTTTTTTCAAGATCCCTTACATCATTTCGTTAATGATTTGTCAGTAGAAGAAACAACTTGTGTTTTTAAAAAGCATTCTTGTTCTGATAATTGGCGAACTTTGTCAAAATAGGGCACCACGCTCTGCTCGTGTATCAAGCTTTGATGTGAAAAGAGAACTTACAGATACTTCTTTGTTTCTGAATGCCACTCTCTCGTAAGTCACTCTCTTTTTGCATGCAAATCTAAGGTCTCTCACTATATGAAATTAATTAATGCTTAAAGTAATAATGCGTTTGATGATGCATTATATCTTTAGCACTTTAGAATCTCAAAGAAGATTTTAAGAGAATTGGCATAAATAATTTCAGACAACAGATCTTGCACATTTGAATCCTAAACAATGACACTAACATCACATTTTCAGATACCAAATAAAAATAAATCTTTTTCAATAAATTTTAAAATTTCAAACACTTTTGGATTTACAGAAAAATTGTGTAGATTGTACAGAGAATTTCCATACACCTAATACCCGACTACCCCACTATTAACATGTTAAATTAGTGTCATACACTTGTCATGGTTAGTGGGCCGATACTGGAATATTTTATTAAAGAGTCCATACTCTATTCAGATTCTTTTCAGTTTTGCCTAATATCGTTTATCTCTTCCAGGACCCCACCGAGGACCCTGTATAACATTTAGACATGGTTTCTCCTTAAGCTCTTCAATGACTATGATAGTTTCCTGACTTTTCTTGTTCTTCACGCCTACCTTGACAGTTTTCAGGACCGTTGGTCAGGTCTTCTATAGAATTCCTCTCTATCGGGATTTTTTTTTTTTTTTTTGACGGCTTGAGATATAAGTTCTATACAATATACCTATTTAAAGTATAAATTTCAGTGTTTCATTATATTCCCAGATATATGCAACCATCACCATAGTCAATTTTAAATATTTTCATCACTGCAAAATGAAACCCTGTACCCTTTAGCAAGCACCACCCCCCATCCCTTCAAGGCAAACACACACCACCCTCTCCTTCCAGGGCCCGAACAACAACTCGTCTTCTTTTGTCTCTGTAGATTTCCCTGTTGGGGACATTTCCTATGAATGGAGTCATAGACATGCTGTATGGTTTTGCAACTGTGTTATTTTTTTTGGATATTGTCAAGGTTCATCCATGCTGCAGCATGTATTAGTACTTCATT
This sequence comes from Homo sapiens, assembly GCF_000001405.40. NCBI lineage: Eukaryota > Metazoa > Chordata > Mammalia > Primates > Hominidae > Homo > Homo sapiens. The sequence continues at coordinate 4,848,158 of NC_000008.11, forward strand.
CTTGGTCTGGCTGAATAATATTTCATTGTATGGAAATGGCACAGTTTGTCTATCCTTTCATCTAGTGATAGACTATTGGGGTGTTTCCACTTTTTCCTAGTTTGAATAATGTTGACATAAACATTGTTGTACCAGTTTTTGTGTGAATACAGTCATGTGCTGGATAACCACCTTTTGGTCAAGGATGGGCCACCTATACAATGGTGGTCACGTAAGATTATAGTGGAGCTGAAAAATTCCTATGAGCTAGTAATGGCCTATGGTCTTCCAACATTGTAACGCAGTGCATTACTCATGGGTTTGTTGTGATGTTGGTGCAAACAAATCTATCGTGCTGCCAGTCATTAAAAGTCTAGCACATAAAATGATGTATAGTACATAATGCTTTTTTTTTTTTTTGAGACGGAGTCTCACTCTGTCACCCAGGCCTGCGGTGCTGTGGCACCGTGTCGGCTCACTACAACCTCCGTCTTCTTGGTTCAAGCAATTATCCTGGCTCTGCCTCTCGAGTAGCTGGGATTACAGGCACCCACCACCACACCCAGCTAATTTTTGTATATTTTTATAGTAGGGACTGGGTTTCACCATGCTGGCCAGGCTAGTCTCAGACTGCTGACCTCAGGTGATTCGGCCGTCTCAGCCTTCCAAAGTGCTGGGATTACAGGCGTGAGCCAACGCGCCCAACCCAGTACATAATACTTAATAATAATAAACAACTATGTTTCTGGTTTATAGTTTTACTATATTGTACTTTTTATTGTTGCTTTAGAAGGTACTTGTTCTACTTATAAAAGTATTAACTGTAAAACAGCCTCAGGCAGGTCCTTCAGGAAGTATTGGAGAATAAAGCGTTGTCATCCTAGGAGATGACAGCTCTACACCTGTTATAGTCCCTGAAGACCTTCTAGTGGGACAAAATTTGGTGGTAGAAGACAGTGATATGTATGATTCTGACCTTGTGTAAGTCTAGGCTAATGTGCGTTTGTGTCTTAGCTTTTAACAAAAACGTTTTCAAAAAGTAAAATAAAACAAAATTTCAAGCTAGAAAAAAGCTTGTAGAATAAAGCTATAAAGAAAGAAAATATTATTGTACACCTGTGCATGTGTTTCATATTTTAATGTGTTATTACAAAAGAGTCACATGTTTAAAAAATTAAAAGTTTATAAAGAAAAAAGTAATAAGGTGAAGTTAATTTAATAAACTGAAGTTAATTTTTTTCTTTATTCAATAGAATAAAGAAAAAAATACTTTTTGTAAGTTTGCTATACCCTCAGTGTACAACGGTTGTAAAGTCCACAATAGTGAACAGTAATCTCCTAGATCTCACGTTCAATTATAACTCACTCACCGACTCCTACAGAGCTACTTCCAGGTTGCAAACTCCATTTATGACAAGTACTCTATACAGGTGTAGCATTTTTCATCTTTTATACCATAATTTTAGTGACCTTTTCTATTTTTAAAAATGCTCTAATACACAAATACTTGATATTGTATTATAGTTGTCCATATTATTTAGTGCAGTAACATGCTGTACAGATTTGAAGCTTAGGGGCAACAGGCTATACCATACATCCTAGGTCTCTAGGAAGCTAAACCATCTTGGTTTTAGTAAGTGCACTCAATGATGTTCATACATTGATGAAATTGCCTAACAAAGCATTTCTCAGAATATTTCCTCATTGTTATGTAACATGTAACTGTATATGTTTTCATTGCTCATGGGTATATTAGAAATGGCATTTCTCGATTATATTATGATGCTATGTTTAAACATTTCAGGAATTACCAGACTCTTTGCTAATGTGGCTGAACTTTTTTCCATTCCCACCAGCAGCAGACATGCGGGTTCTAATTTCTCCACATCTGTGTTACGTACGTACTATACTTGGCTTTTTTTATTCTTGCCATCCTGGTGGGTGTGAAGTAGGATCTCATGGTGGTTTTGGATTGCATTCCCCTGATGCCTAATAACGTCAAAAATCTCTTTATGTGAATATTGGTATTTGTAAAATGTATATGAAGATCATTAACCTATTTTTTAACTGGGTTATCTGTCATTTTATTACTGAGCTCCAAGAGTACTTTCTATGTTCTAGATGCAAATCCTTTATCAGATACACAATCCCCAAACATTTTCTCCCATTCTACGGCTTGTGTTTTTACTGTCTTAATGGTCTCTTTGAAGAATAAATGTTTTTATTTTGATGAAATCCAATTTATCTTTTTTTTTTTTTTTTTTTTTTTGCTCTTGCCTTTAGTAAAAAACATCTTTACTCTTTTTTCATTGATTGCTCAGGAAGCTTCCTCTCCCTTCAGTCACATGACAATTGCAAACATTGGTTATTTTCCAAAATCTTCCATTTCCCTCCTTTGCACCACTCCTCCCCCAGCACTCTCTCCCAGGACTTCAGCGAAGTAGAAATCCTTCATCCTCTCTTCCTCATCACTTAGTCTCTTTCTTTTCTCTCTATGACTCTTCCATCAGAACAAAGTCCTTGCTCCTTACCCCCTTAGCTTTGTCTCTCTCTCTCTCTGGATGAAGTGCAGAGTGTCGTGAAGCAGTTGTGTGCACTCATTGTTCCAGTACCTCAATTTTCTTTCAACCCCAAACCTAGTGGCTTGCCTATTATTTTACCCAAACTGCCCTCAAAAATTCAACCAGTGGCATCCTTTTGCTGAATTCAATAAAGTATGTTTAGTCCTCATGTCACATGAACCTTTATGCATTGAAGATTGTTTCCCTTGCCCCCCCACTTTTTGTGGTTATTTTTTTATCCTTGTTAATTTCCTTTTTTTAATATATACACTTTGAGTTTTAGGGTACATGTGCACAAAGTGCAGGTTAGTTACATATGTATACATGTGCCATGTTGGTGTGCTGCACCCATTAACACATCATTTAGCATGAGGTATATCTCCTAATGTTATCCCTCCCCCCTCCCCACACCCCACAACAGTCCCCGGAGTGTGATATTCCCCTTCCTGTGTCCATGTGTTATTATTCAATTCCCACCTATGAGTGAAAATATGCAGTGTTTGGATTTTTGTCCTTGGCAATAGTTTGCTGAGAATGATGGTTTCCAGCTTCATCCATGTCCCTACAAAGGACATGAACTCATCATTTTTTATGACTGCATAGTATTCTATGGTGTATACATGCCAACTTTTCTCGCCCCCTTTTTAAGCTCCTTCTTTCACTGGCTTTCATGATCCCACCAATTCCTGCTTTTCCTTTTTTGTTTTTTTCCTGGCTGCATCTTCTTCGTCAATTTCTTAAATTCTTCCCTTGTCAACCTCTATTTTTTTTCTTTTTTGATATTTGAGTATTTCATCCATGGCGCTTCTCACTCCCCTATACATTCTCCAGGGTTGAGGTAGTCTACCCCCATAGGTTCAGAACCTATGACCTGTATCTTCAGTTGGCATTCAATAGCCTATCCAACTCCATGTGGGAGTTTCATAATAATCTATGGGATTACCTGACTTCTCAATGTCTCCTGCTCTCCCTCTCCTCACTAAGAGTCCCATTGTGTGGCATCGGCAATCACCCATATGACTAACAAGAACCTTAAGACTTCTTCTTCTTCAAAGACAGGTCTATTGAGATGAACGTACTTTTAAGTCACCCTCCCCTTTAACTTGTGTGATTAAATGTTTCCCAAGATAATTACAGAGTGAAGCCACCATCACTAAAATTAGATTTCAGAATATTTCTCACACCCCATAGAGAAAATTTATACTCATTTGCTATCACTCTTCATTCTCCCTCTGCCTTGTACACAGGCTGAGTAAACCACTAGTCTAAGTTTTTTCCCTATAGATTTAATCTCTCTCTGGACGCTTGATCTGTCACTAAGGTCTAACCTGTAATACCTCCTCAGCAGGGCTTAATGTGTATACTTCCTTACATCAGATTCCCTCTCTCTTTATATCTTTTACTTGTGAAACTGCTATTTTCTCCCAACTGGGAACACCATATATGTTTGTTTACTCTAATCTATTTTTGCCAGCATTGTTCTATAACAGTAAACATACTTATATGGTTTGGATATTTGTTGCCTCCAAATCTCAGGTTGAAATGTAATCCCTAGTTTTGGAGGTGGGGCCTTGTGGGAGGTGCTGGGGTTGTGGGAGCTGATCCCTCATAGATGGCTTCCTGCTATCCTTGCAACAGTGAGAGAGTTCTTGCAACATCTGGTTGTTTAAAAGTATGTGGCTCCTCTCCTCTCTCTCTCGTTCTCACTCTTGCTATGTGATGCACTGTCTGCCCCTTTCACTTCCAACATGATTGAATGCTTGATGAGGCCTCACCAGTTGAGGCCTCATCTACAGGTCAGCCAATTAAACCTCTTTCATTTATAAGTTACCTAGCCTTGGGTATTTCTACATGGAAATTCAAAAACAGCCTAATACAGAAAAATGGTACCAGGAGTGGGATGTTGCTATAAAGATACTTGAAAATATGGAAGTGGCTTTGGAACTAGGTAATGGGTAGAGATTGGAAGAGTTTGGAGGACTCAAAAGACGACAGGAAGATGAGGGAAAGTTTGGAGATCCTTAGAAACTGGTTAAGTGGTTATAACCAAAATGCTGATAGAAATGTGGACAGTGATGGGCAGGCTGATGAGGTCTTAGATGAAAATGAGGAACTTACTGGGAACTGGAGTGAAGGTCACCTATGTTAGGCCCTAGCAAAGAACTTGGTTGCATTGTTTTCAGGCCCTAGGAATCTGTGGAAGGTTGAGCTTAAGAATGATGAGAGGGTACATGGCAGAAGGAATTTCTAAGCAGCAATGCATTCATGATGTGGCCTGGCTGCTTATAACAGTCTACACTCAGATGCAGGCACATTAAATGACTTAAAGTTGGTACTTATATTTAAAAGGGAAGCAGAGCATAAACATTTGGAAAATTTGCAGCCTACCCATGTGGTAGAAAAGAAAAGCATGTTTTTAGTGGAAGAATCCAAGTGGGCTATGGAGCAAACACTTTCTAGAGAGATTTGCATGACTAAAAGGGACCCAGGTGCTGCTAGCCAAGACAATGGGATAAAGCCCTGGAATGCATTTCAGAGATCTATGAGGCAGCCCTTCCCATGACAGGCCCAGAGGTCTACAAAGAAAGAACAATTTTATGGGTGAGACTCAGGGCTCTGAAGCCAGGAATGCAAGGTGGCTGTTCCCTGCATCCCCACTGCTCCAGCTCTATCCATGGCTCAAAGTGCCACAGGTACAGCTCATATTGCTGCTTCAGAGGGTGCAATCCATAAGCTTGGCAGCTTCAACACAGTGTGATATTAAGCCTGCTAGTGCACAGAATGCAAGAATAAAGGAGGCTTGGCAGCTTCCACATAGATTTCAGAAGATGTATCAGAAAGCCTGAGTGCTCAGGCAGAAGGCTGCCACAAAGGTAGAGTCCCACACAGATATTTGAATAGGGCAGTGCCAAAGGGAAATGTGGCATTGGAACCCCATGGAATGTCCCCACTGGAACACTACCCAGTGGAGCTGTGGGAAGAAGACCACTGCCTTCCAAACTGAGGAATGGTAGATCTAACAGCATCATGCAATCTCGTCATGGAAAAGTCATAGGCACTCAACTCCAGCACATGAAAGCAGCCACACTGCACCCCACAAAGCCACAGTGGACCTGACCAAAGCCTTGGGAGCCCACTCCTTGCAGTAGTGTGACCTGGATGCAGGACATACAGTCAAAGGAGATAATTTTGGGGATTTAAGATTTAATGACAGCTCTGCTGGGTTTCAGAATTATGTGGGGCTTATTACCCCTTTCTTTTGGCCATTTTTTTTCCTTTGGTATGAGAATATTTACCTAATTCCTGGAACACAATTGTATCTTGGAAGTATGCAACTTGGTTTTTATTTTACAGTCTCACAGGGGGAACGAACTCATCTCCAGAAGAGACATTGGACATGAGACATAGAACTTTTGAGTTAATGCAGAAGTGAGTTAAGATTTTGGGGGCTATTGGCAGGAGATGATTCTATTTTGCAATGTGAGAAGGGCATGAGATTTGGGGATGCAGGAGTGGAAAGATATGATTTGGGTATTTGCTCTCTATAAGTCTTATGTTGAAATATAATCCCCAGTGTTGGAGACAGGGCTTGGTAGGAGGTGTTGGGTTGCCGAGGCAGATCCCTCATAAATGGCTTCCTGCTGTCCTCATAGTAGTGATTGAATTCTCAAAGGATTTGGTTGTTTAGAAGCGTGTGCCACTCCGGATCGAGCCAAGATGGCCGAATAGGAACAGCTCCGGTCTACAGCTCCCACTGTGAGCGACGCAGAAGACGGGTGATTTCTGTATTTCCATCTGAGGTACCGGGTTCATCTCACTAGGGAGTGCCAGACAGTGGGTGCAGGTCAGTGGGTGCGCGCACCGTGCGTGAGCTGAAGCAGGGCGAGGCATTGCCTCACTTGGGAAGCGGAAGGGGTCAGGGAGTTCCCTTTCTGAGTCAAAGAAAGGGGTGACGGACAGCACCTGGAAAATCGGGTCACTCCCACCCGAATACTGCCCTTTTCCGACGGGCTTAAAAAACGGTGCACCACGAGATTCTATCCCACACCTGGCTCGGAGGGTCCTACACCCACAGAGTCTCGCTGATTGCTAGCACAGCAGTCTGAGATCAAACTGCAAGGCAGCAGCGAGGCTGGGGGAGGGGCGCCCGCCATTGCCCAGGCTTGCTTAGGTAAACAAAGCAGCCAGGAAGCTCGAACTGGGTGGAGCCCAGCACAGCTCAAGGAGGTCTGCCTGCCTCTGTAGGCTCCACCTCTGGGGGCAGGGCACAGACAAACAAAAAGACATCAGTAACCTCTGCAGACTTAAATGTCCCTGTCTGACAGGTTTGAAGAGAGCAGTGGTTCTCCCAGCAAGCAGCTGGAGATCTGAGAACGGGCAGACTGCCTCCTCAAGTGGGTCCCTGACCCCTGACCCCCGAGCAGCCTAACTGGGAGGCACCCCCCAGCAGGGGCACACTGACACCTCACACGGCAGGGTACTCCAACAGACCTGCAGCTGACGGTCCTCTTTGTTAGAAGAAAAACTAACAAACAGAAAGGATATCCACATCAAAAACCCATCTGTACATAACCATCATCAAAGACCAAAAGTAGATAAAACCACAAAGATGGGGAAAAAACAGAACAGAAAAACTGGAAACTCCAAAAAGCAGAGCGCCTCTCCTCCTCCAAAGGAACGCAGTTCCTCACCAGCAACGGAACAAAGCTGGATGGAGAATGACTTTGACGAGCTGAGAGAAGAAGGCTTCAGACGATCAAATTACTCTCAGCTACGGGAGGACATTCAAACGAAAGGCAAAGAAGTTGAAAACTTTGAAAAAAATTTAGAAGAATGTATAACTAGAATAACCAATACCAAGAACTGCTTAAAGGAGCTGATGGAGCTGAAAACCAAGGCGCGAGAACTACGTGAAGAATGCAGAAGCCTCTGGAGCCAATGCAATCAACTGGAAGATAGGGTATCAGCGATGGAAGATGAAATGAATGAAATGAAGCGAGAAGGGAAGTCTAGAGAAAAAAGAATAAAAAGAAATGAGCAAAGCCTCCAAGAAATAAGGGACTATGTGAAAAGACCAAATCTACGTCTGATTGGTGTACCTGAAAGTGATGGGGAGAATGGAACCAAGTTGGAAAACACTCTGCAGGATATTATCCAGGAGAACTTCCCCAATCTAGCAAGGCAGGCCAACGTTCAGATTCAGGAAATACAGAGAACGCCACAAAGATACTCCTCGAGAAGAGCAACTCCAAGACACATAATTGTCAGATTCACCAAAGTTGAAATGAAGGAAAAAATGTTAAGGGCAGCCAGAGAGAAAGGTCGGGTTACCCTCAAAAGGAAGCCCATCAGAGTAACAGCGGATCTCTCGACAGAAACCCTGCAAGCCAGAAGAGAGTGGGGGCCAATATTCAACATTCTTAAAGACAAGAATTTTCAACCCAGAATTTCATATCCAGCCAAACTAAGCTTCATAAGTGAAGGAGAAATAAAATCCTTTGCAGACAAGCAAATGCTGAGAGATTTTTGTCACCACCAGGCCTGCCTTACAAGAGCTCCTGAAGGAAGCACTAAACATGGAAATGAACAAACGGTACCAGCTGCTGCAAAATCATGCCAAAATGTAAAGACCATCGAGACTAGGAAGAAACTGCATCAACTAACGAGCAAAATAACCAGCTAACATCATAATGACAGGATCAAATTCACACATAACAATATTAACTTTAAATGTCAATGGACTAAATGCTCCAATTAAAAGACACAGACTGGCAAATTGGATAAATAGTCAACACCCATCAGTGTGCTGTATTCAGGAAACCCATCTCACGTGCAGAGACACACATAGGCTCAAAATAAAAGGATGGAGGAAGATCTACCAAGCCAATGGAAAACAAAAAAAGGCAGGGGTTGCAATCCTAGTCTCTGATAAAACAGACTTTAAACCAACAAAGATCAAAAGAGACAAAGAAGGCCATTACATAATGCTAAAGGGATCAATTCAACAAGAAGAGCTAACTATCCTAAATATATATGCACCCAATACAGGAGCACCAAGATTCATAAAGCAAGTCCTGAGTGACCTACAAAGAGACTTAGACTCCCACACATTAATAATGGGAGACTTTAACACCCCACTGTCAACATTACACAGATCAACGAGACAGAAAGTCAACAAGGATACCCAGGAATTGAACTCAGCTCTGAACCAAGTGGACCTAATAGAAATCTACAGAACTCTCCACCCCAAATCAACAGAATATACATTTTTTTCAGCACCACACCACACCTATTCCAAAATTGACCACATACTGGGAAGTAAAGCTCTCCTCAGCAAATGTAAAAGAACAGAAATTATAACAAACTATCTCTCAGACCACAGTGCAATCAAACTAGAATTCAGGATTAAGAATCTCACTCACAACCGCTCAACTACATGGAAACTGAACAACCTGCTCATGAATGACTACTGGGTACATAACGAAATGAAGGCAGAAATAAAGATGTTCTTTGAAACCAACGAGAACAAAGACACAACATACCAGAATCTCTGGGACGCATTCAAAGCAGTGTGTAGAGGAAAATTTATAGCACTAAATGCCCACAAGAGAAAGCAGGAAAGATCCAAAATTGACACCCTAACATCACAATTAAAAGAATTAGAAAAGCAAGAGCAAACACATTCAAAAGCTAGCAGAAGGCAAGAAATAACTAAAATCAGAACAGAACTGAAGGAAATAGAGATACAAAAAACCCTTCAAAAAATTAATGAATCCAGGAGCTCGTTTTTTGAAAGGATCAACAAAATTGATAGACCGCTAGCAAGACTAATGAAAAAAAGAGAGAAGAATCAAATAGACGCAGTAATAAATGATAAAGGGGATATCACCACCGATCCCACAGAAATACAAACTACCAACAGGGAATACTACAAACACCTCTACGCAAATAAACTAGAAAATCTAGAAGAAATGGATAAATTCCTGGACACATACACTCTCCCAAGACTAAACCAGGAAGAAGTTGAATCTCTGAATAGACCAATAACAGGATCTGAAATTGTGGCAATAATCAATAGCTTACCAACCAAAAAGAGTCCAGGACCAGATGGATTCACAGCCGAATTCCACCAGAGGTACAAGGAGGAACTGGTACCATTCCTTCTGAAACTATTCCAATCAATAGAAAAAGAGGGAATCCTCCCTAACTCATTTTATGAGGCCAGCATCATTCTGATACCAAAGCCAGGCAGAGACACAACCAAAAAAGAGAATTTTAGACCAATATCTTTGATGAACATTGACGCAAAAATCCTCAGTAACATACTGGCAAAACGAATGCAGCAGCACATCAAAAAGCTTATCCACCATGATCAAGTGGGCTGCATCCCTGGGATGCAAGGCTGGTTCAATATACGCAAATCAATAAATGTAATCCAGCATATAAACAGAGCCAAAGACAAAAACCACATGATTATCTCAATAGATGCAGAAAAAGCCTTTGACAAAATTCAACAAACCTTCATGCTAAAAACTCTCAATAAATTAGGTATTGATGGGACGTATTTCAAAATAATAAAAGCTATCTATGACAAACCCACAGCCAATATCATACTGAATGGGCAAAAACTGGAAGCATTCCCTTTGAAAACGGGCACAAGACAGGGATGCCCTCTCTCACCACTCCTATTCAACGTAGTGTTGGAAGTTCTGGCCAGGGCAATTAGGCAGGAAAAGGAAATAAAGGGTATTCAATTAGGAAAAGAGGAAGTCAAATTGTCCCTGTTTGCAGACGACATGATTGTATATCCAGAAAACCCCAATGTCTCAGCCCAAAATCTCCTTAAGCTGATAAACAACTTCGGCAAAGTCTCAGGATGCAAAATCAATGTTCAAAAATCACAAGCATTCTTATACACCAACAACAGACAAACAGAGAGCCAAATCACGAGTGAACTCCCATTCACAATTGCTTCAAAGAGAATAAAATACCTAGGAATCCAACTTACAAGGGATGTGAAGGACCTCTTCAAGGAGAACTACAAACCACTGCTCAAGGAAATAAAAGAGGATACAAACAAATGGAAGAACATTCCACGCTCATGGGTAGGAAGAATCAATATCGTGAAAATGGCCATACTGCCCAAGGTAATTTACAGATTCAATGCCATCCCCATCAAGCTACCAATGACTTTCTTCACAGAATTGGAAAAAACTACTTTAAAGGTCATATGGAACCAAAAAAGAGCCCGCATCGCCAAGGCAATCCTAAGCCAAAAGAACAAAGCTGGAGGCATCACGCTACCTGACTTCAAACTATACTACAAGGCTACAGTAACCAAAACAGCATGGTACTGGTACCAAAACAGAGATATAGATCAATGGAACAGAACAGAGCCCTCAGAAATAATGTCACATATCTGCAACTATCTGATCTTTGACAAACCTGAGAAAAACAAGCAATGGGGAAAGGATTCCCTATTTAATAAATGGTGCTGGGAAAACTGGCTAGCCATATGTAGAAAGCTGAAACTGGATCCCTTCCTTACACCTTATACAAAAATCAATTCAAGATGGATTAAAGACTTAAACGTTAGACCTAAAACCATAAATAACCTAGAAGAAAACCTAGGCATTACCATTCAGGACATAGGCATGGGCAAGGACTTCATGTCTAAAACACAAAAAGCAATAGCAACAAAAGAAAAAATTGACAAATGGGATCTAATTAAGAGCTTCTGCACAGCAAAAGAAACTACCATCAGAGTGAACAGGCAACCTACACAATGGGAGAAAATTCTCGCAACCTACTCATCTGACCAAGGGCAATATCCAGAATCTACAATGAACTCAAACAAATTTACAAGAAAAAAACAAACAACCCCATCAAAAAGTGGGCGAAGGACATGAACAGACACTTCTCAAAAGAAGACGTTTATACAGCCAAAAAACACATGAAAAAATGCTCATCATCCCTGGCCATCAGAGAAATGCAAATCAAAACCACAATGAGATACCATCTCACACCAGTTAGAATGGCAATCATTAAAAAGTCAGGAAACAACAGGTGCTGGAGAGGATGTGGAGAAATAGGAACACTTTGACACTGTTGGTGGGACTGTAAACTAGTTCAACCATTGTGGAAGTCAGTGTGGCGATTCCTCAGGGATGTAGAACTGGAAATACCATTTGACCCAGCCATCCCATTACTGGGTATATACCCAAAGGATTATAAATCATGCTGCTATAAAGACACATGCACACATATGTTTATTGCCGCGTTATTCACGATAGCAAAGACTTGGAACCAACCCAAATGTCCAACAATGATAGACTGGATTAAGAAAATGTGGCACGTATACACCATGGAATACTATGCAGCCATAAAAAAATGATGAGTTCACGTCCTTTGTAGGGACATGGATGAAATTGGAAATCATCATTCTCAGTAAACTATCGCAAGAACAAAAAACCAAACACCGCATATTCTCACTCATAGGTGGGAACTGAACAAGGAGATCACATGGACACAGGAAGGGGAATATCACACTCAGGGGACTGTTGTGGGGTGGGGGGAGGGGGGAGGGATAGCATTAGGAGATATACCTAATGCTAGATGACATGTTAGTGGGTGCAGCGTACCAGCATGGCACATGTATACATATGTAACTAACCTGCACAATGGGCACATGTACCCAAAAACTTAAAGTATATAAAAAAAAAAAAAGTGTGTGCCACTCCACCCTTGCTCTCTTGGCCCTGCTCTCGCCATGTAATTTGCTGGCTCCCTCATCATCTTTTACCATGAGTAAAAGCTCTCTGAGGCCTCGCTGGAACTTGAGCAGATGCTCGTGCCATGCTTTCTGTACAGCCTGCAGAATCATGAGCCAATTAAAACTCTCTTCTTTATAAATTACCCAGTCTCTGACATATTTCTTTATGGCAATGCTAATACAGCCTAACACACCTACTCACAATGTTTGAAATGTTCCTCATTCACTCTGGAATAAAGACAAATACATTTATGTAACATACAGTGCTCTTCGTATGGGCATACGTTCCTGGTAATTTATCACTACATCCCTGATAATACCAAATTGCAACTTCCTGTAATCATTTGCAGTGTCCCCAACACAGCATAATTATTTCTGCGTAAAAACGTTCACATCCCTGCTTCTCCTGCTAGAGAAACCTTCCTCTGACTCTACATAGTGAATCTCTGTTCATCCCTCAAACTTCAGCTCTGATATCCTCAGTTTCAAGAATGTAAACCTGTGCTGCCAAAAATTCACGTTCTCACTACTATTGTAATACATATTCTAGGTGCTTATTTATCTATGTCTCCTTTTCCTCTAAAAGCTCCTTTTGTTCTAAAGCTCCAGAATCTTATCTTATTTTTAGGGGCCAGAAATGTTTCTTGAATTTAGTACGTATTTAGTGAATGTTCGTTGAACAAATACATAAATGGAAGTTGATAATAGATTCTGACATTTATCTCAGAGACCTGCTCTAATCTATTTCATTACTTCTGTAGACAGTAATATATCTCTGCGGCTATACATTCAGAAAGTCACAGCAACAAAGGTACAGTATGCACATAATCGTGAACTTACATCCATATCAAACAAAAATGTGAAGCTTGACATTTCAGGCTTTATGGGTTCAATAGTTCCTTCTGAAGGCAGCTTGACTCTATTACTACGCTGTAAACATCCAGAAACATGTGAAGAAAGCGACCAGAGTTCTTGGAAGTGCTCGTAGACAACTAAGCAATCCTTTATGTATGTTTGTATGATGTGTCTGCGATTTAGTGTCAAGTGAGGGGTATGGAGAAAATGACATAGGTGGATGTTACGAAGAAAAATGCAAACACTATTTAGGATTGTCAACTGAAGTTCTTTGAACAGAGGCTGTGGATAATTAAAATTTGTCTAAAATATATATGCATTTAAAACTTTGTGGTATTTTCTACCACATAACAACACAGTGATCTCAAAAAATAGGTTAATTTGCTTTAAATATGGCATACGTTAAAGAATGTACAAAGGATGTACATTTTGAACAAAATGTCTAAGATATAAAGCTCTAAATAACTTTTTGCTCAAAATTTATTAAAGAATTATGTATTGATTTCATAATATGTGTGAGAAACAATGGTTAGTTCTCAAGAAGCAGAGGAAGAGAGACAGAGGGAGAACCTGAAGAACTTTCCACTTATTATACTTACATTTCAAAACGGGGATGCAACAAATATAAATAAATATATAGAATATTATGCATTAACTAGTATTGAACATGAAAATAAAGTAGGATTTTGGAGTTACTGAACAGGAGGGATTGCGTTTTAATACAGGATGCTCAGGGAAATGCTACTGGGAATGGCGTCTTCTGATCCAAGAAGGAAGGAAGGAGTGAGTCAGCTCTAAGGGTCTGGGGACAAGGAGGCATCAGGGAGTGAACGGGAGCTGAGGTGGGAGTGGTTTATTGTTCCTTGAACCTCAACGAGGCCTGGGGGGCTTGAATACAGAAAGTGAGGTAGAGAGGAGTGAACGAGATGAGCTCACAGAGGTACTGGGAGCCTGTAAGTGAGAGTATCAATGTCCATCATCAGAACCTTATGAATGAGATGGAAAATTATTAGAGGGCTTTGCACAGATGGAGAATTAACTTGATTTGGCTAGCAGTAGTTCTTTCAAAGAATCACTGTAGCTGTGAAGTAGATGATGAACTCTGTGTTGGGTAGAGGCATGTGTGACTACATTAAAAGTAAAAAGAATGGTTAAAAGTCTGCAGTGATAAGCAGTGAAATATCATCGTGGTTTGGACGAAGAAGAGTAGTGGAGGTGGTAAGAAGAGACTAGATCGTGGATATATTTTGATGTTAGAACCATTAAAATAAGATAAAAAATTGGAATACGGTTTTAGAGAAAAACAGAAACCAAGGAGGACACCAAGTTTCTTGAATTAACACCTGCAAGTGCCATTTACTGAGATAAGCAAGGCCATGGGAGGAACTGTTCAAGGACGTCTGGGCCGGAAATAAAAACACAGTAGCGACAACTTGGAAAAGGTTCTTGGAATCATGAAATCCGGTGACAGCCTAAAGGGATTTGGGGTAGCTAGAAAGTTGAAGACCTCCCAAGTGTGACTCCAAGTCTTAAGATGTTCAGAAGTCAGGAACATGAGGAAGGACTGGTAGAGCCGTGGGAGACACAGCACCAAGAGAGGCTGGAGGGAAACTAAGAGAGATAATGGCCACAAAGCCAAGTCAGGGTGCCCAAGAGGGAACCAGCAAATACCCCCGTAGATCAAGGGGAACACACTCTGACAGCGACCCTTGGGCTTGACAATGTGAGGTCCCTGGTGATTCTGGTGAACACTGTTATAGTAGCCGGAAAGCTCAGTGGCTAGGATCATGAAAAATGAAATAATAAATTACTGAGTTTACATTAATAATTAGAAATATGAATTGACAAGGTGCTTCATTTCTCTTCACCTCAGTTTTTACTATTCATCTCCAAAATGAGGAAAAATAATCATGTGTTTTGAGAATTATCTGAGAATACATATACAAATTTTTAGAACGGCGCATGGTATATAAAAAGCTCTCAATAAATGGCAGTTATTGTCATATTATCATAAAATCATAGAAGTCCTTGGCCAACATTATTATGAATGCAAGCCTTAAGTAAAGAGAATGCCTTTGGCCCTCCCCATGAGACTCAATAGACCAGAGCATGAATCCAGATTCTAGAACATTCATTTTTAAATTTTATACATATTCTAGTAACATTTAGTTCAGTGTTGAATATTTTAATGAAAAGGGTAACTCATTCCTATTGGTATCCCATATTCTCATTCCTGCATTTTTTTAGCAACAATTTTGCACAATCTCTTCATATTCTCACAAAAACAACACTCCCACCTCTCCATATCCACCCAGGGGACACAGCAAGAATGTCTAATTTGAATCTAAATGTGTGCATATCTTAGATTTAATTAATCAACAATAAAAGACTTATCCTTTGAAAAATGTATACAATGTAACTTGTGCTTTTGATAAATGTGTTGATTTGTATATTTTCTTTACTTGGAGTACATTTGAATAGAACATGAAAATCCTTTAGGAAAAAGAAATGAAATTTTTTATACTTTTTCTTGATTTTATTCTGCCTTCACAAAATTGTATAAATTAAATTAAAAGCAAAAAGGAAGTGAAATGTTATTTTTCTTCATAAATAAATCCTAAAATAAATGTCAAGACATGATTGAAAAATGATTCATATTTTATTCAGTACATGTCTATATATGGCAATATGCTTTACATTAATAGCATGTTTATTTCATGGACCACTTTTTGCCATGTTACAAGTAAAAAAGTGTAATTATATAACTCAGTCTATAAAATTATAGTTGAAAACTTTGTCTGGGTATTTTTTATTAAATTGATCACTTCTGTGGATTTTCCCGACACCTCAAATAATAATGAAGTACAACCAAAACAGACTGAATTTCAAGTTGCTAGTAAAGTGTCCAAAATAACATACTTAGCATTTTGAGAAATACATACCTACACACACAAAGACACACACACACAAATTTAGAACTAAAAAAGGATGATGCCAAATTGACGACATATAATTAGAATGAAAACAAAAAACAAGTAATTACGTAAAAATGTATTTGTCTTTCAATGGTTTAAAAAATATCACTTCCTTACTTTACTATATCCACAAATTTGCCTTTAATTATCTACTTCAATAGACAAAAATCATTGCTCAGAAACCCTATAACATTGTTTGATTTCTATTTAGTTTTTGCATATGTGATTTTTTTATGGGCAGAGTGATCATCATAATTATGTTTTGCCAGAGTTCATAATGATCTTTATTTTATATCATTATTATAGTTACTAGCTTTATTAATTTTAAAATTGTATTCAATGAATACACACAAGCAGATATTAATAGTTCTACTAACCTGGTTTAAATAAAGGTCTCTGCAGAAACTACCTTTGAATTTTAAAAAATTCGAAGTATATTTTCCATATGAGTCATAACAATTTGATTATTTTCATACGTTAGCTAAAGCAGATAATTTTTGTATTCTCTGTAATCTTTTCATTGTATATAACATTTAAAGTAATTGGCCTAATATCACTGAAATATTGGATTCTACTACACACACACACACACACACAAACACACACACACACACTTGATATAACTGTTCTACAACACTGGTATTCTGAAAGACATATTTAAATATTATAATATTATTATATAATTTGAAAATTTAGTCTGATTTTTTAAATTTTAAAATTTTATTTTTGTGTTTGCTTTATTTTTTAAATTTTTATTTCAATAGGTTTTGGGGTACACGTGGTTTTCTGTTACCTGGATGAATTATGTAATAGTGATAAAATTCAAAGTTTTATAACATTTTACACAACTAATCTTATTCTTGTTTTACTTTAATGACATGTTCTAATATCATTCTCATGCATAATGATAAGTCCTTTATTTAAAAAATTAAATACTTGTACCAACATAAAACTTCTATGTTATTCATCCTAAGAAAATACTACATACTGCTTCTGTTTTGAATAAAGAGAAAATCTCATTAAGAATCTCGTAACTTACTGCAAGACGAAATCAGCAACTGACTTGTCATTTTCTTTCTGCCTATAACTGATGACTTTGAGTAATATATACACAGCTTCAATAGGTTGTCATTTTCTTTCTGCCTATAACTGATGACTTTGAGTAATATATACACAGCTTCAGTAGGTTTCCTCGTACTTTAAACATGATGCAACAATATATTAGAAAATCACTTGGAGAAGAATGTCGCTCATCACCCCAACATGGAATGCAATGATTCCAATTTCCACTGTTGCATACGCCTTTTCAGTTTCCATTTTTACGAAGATCTAAGTACAATGCACTTCAATTTTGCATTTTTATTTTTATAATCATTGGGAGGGGTACTTCCATCAATCAGATTTGTTCTAATGCAAAATGTATCTAAATTTACTTAATATAAGAGAGAAAAGCTCAACCCTAGCCCCAAACAAAACCTCAATCTATGCATTGCCCAGTTTTTTAAAAGGTCCTCCTTTAAAAATTAATCTTCTTTCTTATGCATTTTGGGACCTATTTTTTCCATTTAATTTTAACCAAATTTAATCATAGGTTTGAAAGAAAAATCACTGAGGAGCTTTCATCTTCCTGTGTAGATAACTTGAAAATTTTTTAAAAATATATTTACACAGGAAGTCCTTGAGATGTAACTTAATAGCAACATCTAAATTTAAAAGGCTGGTATTATGTCATATTAAGTCTCTCAGTTTTTGACACCTTAATGGTTCTGTGCCTATGTGAACCATCAATAACAGTAATCCAACTGCACTACTAATTCAAAGTGACTAGAATTATGTCATCCTATGCTGCAAAGTTTATGACATCTGTTTAAGAGGTGGATGACCACCATTTCATTTAAAATGAAAAGCTTTCTATAAAAACTTAATGTACCAGGCTCTCTTGAAATTCACATTAAATCTCTTCACTTTCTTGGTTCTTAGTACTCTTGCAAATATTTTATTATCTAGTGATCTATTGACTTCTCCAGAGATTTCTTTACAAACTGACAACCAAAAATAACAACTACTGTCTTTGAAGAGTAACCTCCTGTGGTTAACATCTCTCTAATTGTTTCTCTAAGATAATCTTGATAAAAGAAGTTTGTTCTATTCTCTTTTGTTTTTTTCTTTAAAAAGTGCATTTTAGCATCTACTTTATGCTAGGTACTTTTAATCCCCACAACATAAGTGTTATTGGCTTTTTTAACAACTAAATAAATAGAAACCCAGAGAAGCTCAGCTCTTTCCCCAATGACACACAACTTATAAGTAGCTGAGTCATAACCTCAAATGAGATTCATATGCTGGTTCTAATGCTCTCTTCTCTTTACCAGATTTACAATGAAATAAATAAAAAATAAGATACTAATTTAACACAAACAATAATTTTCAACCTCGATCGTTCAAACTCATTTTTTAAAATTATTATAAACACAAGGTAATGGACGAAAAGCAAAAATATTCCAATGATACAGGATCCTTACCTTTTCATGATTTTTAAAAATTATAACTTTACCATTAATATAAAACTTTTACATTTTGTGACCTCCTTAATTATAATTTATTTGCCATTATTTTAATGGCAAAAACCACAATTACTTTTGCACCAACCTATATGGAACAATCTTAAATACTAGAGACATTGTATTTCCTCAGCATATTACTACTCAATTCTCGGCAGGCTTTGATTGCGTTTTTGTTTTTTGCTCAAATTAAGCCATACAGAAAGTAATATTTTGCTTAGAATTTAAGAAAATAAAGTGACCCTTGTGATATGAACTTCATGAACTACACACATATTATTTATATTTACAATTTATTTAACCACTGTGACAGCAAAAAACTAAAAAATGGTGCATCGTTCCAATCATTTGCCAAGCTAAGAAAGCTGGAGTGTTTGGGGGTTGTTAAATATGCAAATTGATAAACACTCCCTACTCATCAATGTGCTTCTGGAAAATTAATTGCCCCACTGTTTATATCTTGTCATTGAAGAGCATTCGATTAATTTCTTTCCTCTTTAAATAGTTGGCCAACACTTAATTATTTGAAAGGTATTACTAAGATGCAGAACTTAAATACACCCCTGTAAATAAAGACATTCCAATAAAGTATAATTATTTATAGGCAGCAATTATCTGAGGCCAACACTCTTCCTATCCCAGCCAACCTCGGATATAATTTTTTTTACCTTTGAGTAAGCAAATTGCAAGGGATAGTCCCAGAGCAGCCATAATTTCGCTTTTTTCATCAGCGCTGTATTTTTGTATCACCTTGCACTTAACTTTATTATGTCGCAATGCCAGATTGGAAATAGAATGATGGTGCTGAGAAAAGTTATATGTTTAGAATCCCTTGATTTGTGTGTGTGTAAATTGTCAAACAAAATGCCGTATTAGTATTCAATGCAGTTAGGTTTTTAGTAGCTTAAAGATAAGAGTGTTTTGATCCCTCTAATAAATACATTCATTTTACTACATGTGGCAACATTTAACAGAGTGTAAATTCTCAATATTTTATATCATTACAGTATTACACATTAAATATGTTGCCACAAGACACGGAGTTGAATTTTCGAGCTAAGACCCTACTGTCTACGTGTGTGTGTTTCTACAAGTGCCTTAGATATTTACACGTTTGTACATCCTTTAAATTCAGTTCACAAAACTGCTAAATGCGGAAATGGCTCTTGAAAAATCACTGCTTTCCCTGGATCTCTACTTTGTCTCTTATTTACTGGAAAAAGCAATTTAAAACGACCTCTCACCAAACTGCTGTAGTTGCCTTACCTGCAAAATTGAGAAATAATGGGTTGATGGGAGAATTAAATAAATTTACATATGCAAACTGTTTAGAAAAATGCCTGAGCCTACTCTGTATGTTATTTTATTAGTCGTATTATTTTCTTTCCTTTAAGACAGAGTTTCACACTTTCACCCAGGCTGGAGAGCAGTGGCGCGATCTCGGCTCAGTGAAACCTCCATCCCCTGGGTTCGAGCGATTCGCCTGCTTCAGCCTCCCCAGTAAACTGAGATGACAGGTGCACACCACTACACCCGACTAATTTTTGTACTTTTAGTAGAGACCGGGGTTTTGCCACATTGATCAGGCTGGTCTCAAACTCCTGACCTCAGGTGATCCGCCTGCCTCGGTCTCCCAAAGTGCTAAAATGACAGTCGTATTATTTTCATATTAGTGTTAGTGGGATCATTATTGTTACCGTTATTATTAAAAAACCAATCATTTTCATTCGTCTAAATTGAGGCATAATGAACAAGTGTTCAATCATCTACTTAATTCTGAAGGTAATTGAAAATTATTACCTAAGAATAAAAACACAACTAACAGTATGGTGTCTTGGTCGAAAGTATTTGATGCGGTACCAGTTAGAACTAGATTTGACACTGGTGACTGTCAAATATTGGCTGTGTAAGCTTGTAAAAATTGTAAAAAAAAAGCTTGTAAAAATATCATGTGCTGTATCAGCTCCTCTACAAAATAGAAATTGATAACCAATTTCAGATGATTTTTGAGAGGATTGAATGAAGTAATATTTGCACGTTTTCTAACAGGGCAATCACTCATATGTGTGTAGTTATAGGTATAGATTATACCTATATACACACAGAGACATACAAATAGAATAGATGATATAAAGATAATATATATACATTTTATATTTTGTTATATATTACTACATACCATTTCCAAACATTATCATCAGTTTCCAGTTGAATTTTAAAAGAGAAACAATTTCTCATTGTATTATTTTTAAATAAATTTATAAATGTCATCAAATTTGTGACACAAAATAAATCTATCTAGTAATAAATATGGCAATAATAATTTTGTACACCTGCTATAATTTAGAACTGTATTTTCCCATAGAAAAGCATCTGTGTGGCTATGAACGTATATATTATCATTTAACATAGTGCTAATTCCATCCTGTTTTATCATTTGATGGAAACAGTGGAGGAGTTGTGTCTGTAGGGAAACTGGATCTCTTTCCTTTATGTTAATGCTCTCTGTATTTTAATCACTCGAATTTCATAACTTTGAGTTACTTGACTTTCACTTACCAAATATTTGGTAATCACTAAATTTTAATGAAAGCATATATCTGCAACCAGACTATATAATGCAGTCAAAAGTTTAAACTCAAGGTAGTTGATATCTAGGATAGTGTATCTATTTATATTTTTTTACTGCATGGCTGTTATGAAAAGCCTATTTTGTGTTAAATGTTGTAGTTTAGTTAATGATCACATTCTTTAAAAAGTATGAATTTCTTCTTATATTCTCTGCTAATACAGATTTTTAAAAAACATTAGGGCACCATTTTCTCTGATTATTAATCTTGAAAATACCTTCCCAATTCATGAAGTAATAAAACGTTCCATGGAATAGAGCAAAACCAAAAGCAAACACATTCTACTTACACATCTGTTTCTTTATTGTCTGCCTGATGTTAATTATGGCTGGTCTTTAATTTATCATATATTCTCTCTCTCTTTTTTATATTCTCTTTTTTCAATGAAAAGAAGTTAATGTTAGATTTAAGAATTTTAGAGTATAAAAGTGGTCTCTTATATTGTCCTAATCTACAATAATCTTATAATTGGTTAAGGTGACATTTAAGAATTGAAAATAATGCATAACACATGTCCGTTTTTATGGACAACCGTAAAGTATGTATTCCTGTGTACCAGAACCGCAGACTTCAAGACTTTTGTGAATAAAAGTGATATTCAATATTGCACACTCTTGATTTATTTATATTCAGTTAATCTAATTACATATACTTATAAAATGTTTAAACATCATGGAAATTTATAAAGTAAATAATGAAAAAATAACTGTTAATTCCCTGGTCCTTCTTCATCCCACAACTCAAAAGTAAAAACTGGAAACATCTAGGTTTCCCTCTATAACTTTTTATATATGGGTAAAAATTGGAACAGAAAGACCCACATCACTTTTGAAAACTAGGCAACAATCATATTTTTATGCACTGCTATTTATTTCACCTAACAAGAGTTCAGAAACCCTTCAACAGAGCTAGACCTCAATTTTCTTAAAGGATGCATAGTATTCCATAACTTGAATGCACTGAAATGTATAGAGCCAGTCTTTCTTTTGATAGACATGTTTGGGTTTTCACTGTCACATGCAACTTGGCCAAGGAGTCTGCATACATTCCTCTTCTCGTGTGTCAGTCTCAGCCAGGCTTCTCTAGAATCAGAGCAGGAGGCAAGCTTTCAGTGTGGATACTTTATTAGGAGGTAAAATCCCAGCGCACCACGAGTGAGGGAATGGAGAAACAGAGTACAGAAGTAGGGAGAGCAAAGGGAAGATGTCACGGGACAAAGCCAGCCTTTGCCTTCCAGACATTCATTTAACTATGTGAGCCTGCTCCATTCAGGCTGAGCAGAACCCTGGTCCTCGGAAAATGCCACCGAGGAAGAAAGAGCGAGGAGTGCATTTGCTGGCTCCCCTCTGCTTCAGATGAATCCAAGTTTGTCCCACAGTTCCTGATTGTGTCACCTGGCCCTTTGGGCTTCAACCATGGAGCCAGGTATCACACACTGCAGGGATGGAGCCTCATTCAAATCCCCAGTGCTGAGAAGAGTCAGGGACTCAGGGGATGCCACAGGGTCTGGTCTGGGTGTCAGAGCTGTGCTCACCCTGGGGAGCTGGGAGAGTCAGCAGTGCTGGGAGGTGAGGCAGTTGCAACAGCTCTGGCCTGGGCCATGGGAGGAGGCAGTAGCTGGGGCTGGGAGATAGGTGCAGCCGTGATGAGAATCTAGGGAAGGCAAATAAGTAGCATGGGATTCATCATGTATGAGTATTTCCATAGGATTTTGTTCTAAGAAAGGAAGTGGGTGGTCCAGAGCTAGCATGTGGCTATTGTGACAGCCCATTTTCTTAGGAAATTTTAAATTTCCACTGCAATGCACTTCTTGCCTTCTTTCACGGATTTAGATTTTCTGATGCTTCCAGCTATGCATATTGATATAAATGGCATTTCCAAAGCCCAACAGGTATTTTCAACCTGAATACATTTATCTAACACCATGAGTTCCAGTACAGTGGCAATTCCCGCTGAGCCACATAAAGAAAGATGCGTGTGAATATAATCAAGTTGACCCAACGCCCGTGTATCTGTAAATGAATGGTCTCACCAAGCACCCAACATATTAGTGTTTTGTTTTTATGTTTTGCTTTTATTATTTTTGATAAGGCAAAGATCAAATGGTTTTCATGAAACAGTTGGAAAGCCATAGCAGTAACCCAGATAGCAAACAACTCTTCTTTAGGAACTATATCATAAAATTAAATATTAATGAATCTAGCAAAAATCCCAAGTAGCAGCTCAATGCATAATTTCAGAGTTCATATTATTGTATGGGAGCTTATTTTTCCCTCTTTTGAAACTGTACATTTAGATTGTACACTTTTGAAAAACCTTTCCAGTAACATCAGAGGACAGGCAGGTTCTGTGCTTGCCAGCAGGTCTCCAGTTGGTCATTGCTTGATGGATGACACCTGTCTTTCCTTGCAATTCTGTACTCTGTCTCTGGTTTTCATTTACCCACTATCTCTATGGTCTGGACCAAGCATAGGTGACAGCAGCACGGCCCCAGCATTTTGCAGAAACACATCGTGCTGATCATTTGCAAAATCCTCATGGCTCCTGCAGACAATATTAATAAATAACTTGCAAATTCCCTAGTATGTGTCAGGCTCTGTTGTCACTGCTTTAAATATATTAACTCATTTTATCCTCACAACAATGTATTGAATATGTAGCAAATGAATGCAAACTAAGGCACTCTGTGTTAGCCTGTGTGACTCAAGTAAGGCATAGAGGCCTTGGAGTTGGGACGACAATATTTACTTCCTTTTTCTCTGTGTGTGTTTTTGCAATACTGCCTGATATGGTTAGGCTTTGTGTCCCCACCCAAATCTCATCTTGAATTATAATCCCCATCATCTCCACATGTCAAGGAAGAGAACAGGTGGAGGTAATTGAATCATGGGAGTGGTTTCCCTGATGCTGCTCTCATGATAGCAGGTGAGTTCCTATGAAGTCTGACGGTTTTATAAGAGGATTCCTCCCATCACTCAGCACTCCTTCCTGCCGCCTTCTGAAGAAGGCACCTGGTTCCCTTTCACCTTCCACCATCATTGTAAGTTTCCTGAGGCTTCCCCAACCCTGCAGAACTGTGAGTCAATTAAAACACTTTCCTTTATAAATTACCCAGTCTCAGGCAGTTCTTTACAGTGGTATGAAAACAGTCTAATACACTGCCTCAGAAATTGCGAGAGTAGAATTCACAATACAACTTGCAAGGAACACAGAGACAGAAAGAGACAGAGAAGAGCCTGTGGATTAAAAGATAATTAAAAGATATCTTGCACATTTATAATTCATAGTTCACTTTTTGTGATCAAACCTTCTGTGTTACTGTTTTTGCCCTTTATGAAACAAGTTGAAATTTGAACACTTGCTGGATATTGGCTCATACTGGAGTAGTACTGGCGAATACTTTGTGCGATGTCTGAATTTTTTGACATATGTTTTATTTTATTTCCATCTCTATTGAAGTATGACTGGCAAACAAAAATTGTATATATTTAAGGTGTACAGTGTGTGATGCTTTGATATATGCAAGCATTGTGAAATGGTTACCACAAATCGTATATATTTAAGGTGTACAATATGATGTTTTCGTATATGTATACATTGTAACATGGTTACCAAAATGAAGGTATATAACATGTCATCTGATTCTATAAAATGACATGTTGGTCCTGATTCATTTCAAAATGATAGGAGGTGGCAACAATGAGTAATCTGTATTTAATTATTGGGGTTTGGTGGTGGGAATTTTGCAGAGGTTTGAAATTCACTCAGATCAAAATCTCTTAAAAACTATCTAAAAAATGCCTTTTAAAATTCACATTCGTAGACCCATTCCAAACAGTGAGATATGTGTGTTTGGTTTGTATGAACATGACACGCAGATCAGCGATAGAGGAGAGACTCCCGGACACTCAGCAGGAAATCAACTAAGACTCTAGAATCTAACTCAGAGAATATTCCCTTCTTGAGAAAAAATTCCAGAAATTTTACTTCTTAAAACTGACCTTAGTGGAACTGGAAATGCTTCAACTTGTGTGTAGTATCTTAACAGCATCTAAGAACATATGATACTTCAAAGTTGCTGACAAGAAACAATTCAACTTTTTTCAAGGCTAGAAATCTAATTAAGCAATCGATCAATGTTCATTCCTCCATTCAACTTTCCATCTATCCATTCAGTAAACACTTATTGATGATACAGTAGAGAACTAATCAAACTAAACCAATATTTGGCTTCAAGGAGCTCAAAGCCTTGAAAAATATGTAGCACCTATTTTATAGAAAGTAGCACTGTGTTTGAAGCTGGAATCAACATAAAGGCCATTTCTTATAAGTTGTTTTATATTTTACTCTATATAAAGGTGATTAGATGAATACTTTTTGAAGCACTACGGCTTTTAGACAAGGCAATTAGAAAGAAGAAAGGAAAGAAGGAAGTATGGAAGGGGAAAAAAAGCAAGGAACTATTTCAAGCTATAAATATGCAATCTCATTCGGAGTAAATAACCACTATATGTGTTGTAATCGCATGATTAGTCTATCATCTATCTATCTGTGTGTCATCTACCTTTACCTTAAAACTTTAACATAGGCAAGCACCGCATCAGGCCTTGGTCTGTAGTATTCCACACCTCAGCTACTGATAGATAACTTTATCTTTTTCAAAATAGCTTTATACTTGCATCATAATGAATGAACAATGAACATGTGTGATTAATAAGATCAAGAAAGCCACTGTATAATTGGCCGTGGTTTTCATCAAATTACGTGGGATACTGCCTAAAATCGCATTCTAAAATCTAAATTTCTATTTATCAATTAGTTTATTTTAATTTGCAGTACTTATTAATACATAAATGAAAAGAAAGGGATGGTGGAGGAGATCTTTCAATCCGATTGTATTTTTTTTTTTTTTTTTCTGAGACGGAGTCTTGCTCTGTCACCCAGGCTGGCATGCAGTGTTCCATTCTCGACTCACTGCAATCTCTGCCTCCCAGGTTCAAGCAGTTCTCCTGCCTCAGCCTCCTGAGCAGCTGGGATTACGGGTGCCTGCCACCTCTCCCGGCTAATTTTTGTATTTTTTAGTAAAGATGGGGTTTCACTATGTTGGCCAGGCTGGTCTCGAACTCCTGACCTCAGGTGATCTACCCACCTTGGCCTCCCAGAGTCCTGGGATCAGTTGGCATCTTATGTAGAATAGCTAACAGTGAATTTACTTATTTTTGAATTATATCTGAATTCTTAACACCTTAAGTTATATAGATGGATATTTCATATAGACAGAAAGAAATAGAGATAGACTTTTTGTGTGTGTATATATATATATTTACACACACACTTAATTCTGGTTTATATATATATAATATTAAATATAGTATAGTGTATATATAGTATAGAGTATAGTGTATATATAGTATATACTATATTAGATATTTCCACAAGCTTTATTTTTCATTTCATTTTTATCTTTTGCTTTTTTCTCCTTTATTTCCTTCTTTCCCTTCCCTTCCCTTCTTTTCTTCCTTTTCTCCCTTCCTCTTCTCTCTCCCTCTCTGTCTTTCTTTCTTTCTTCCTTTCTTTTTTTGTAAGAAAATCTTTCCTGGTATTTGGAATTCAGAGTAAATACAGAAGCCCTCCTTCCCTCATGGTAAGGTAGTATGTGCTCTGCCTACAAATCTTGAAAGATTCGTGTCTCTTTCTCTGTACAGTAGTACTTTAAAAGCTGAGAAGGAAAATAAGCATGAGAATTATATATGAACAAGCGCTATACCCAAGTCCTCTGGTAATATACAAGCTCACTGATTCTCAGTTCGAAAATATGATATGACCTTGTAATAACATGCGACGGTTATTGAATATTTTGGAACTGAAAAGTGACTTGTTTTCTTCTATCAAGCCTTTATTTCTCCAGAATAAATTGTTAAACAGGGGAGGGAGTTCTATCCTAAATATGAATTAAAGCTAAAAGCCATTTTACATGTTTGGATGCAAAGCGTCTCACTTGAGCAACTCCATGAGATGAAGCTTTGGCATTTGTCTAGCGCCATCTACTGTCCAACTCAAGCAGAAGCATAGATCTTGTCACCATGATTCGAAGCTGGTTTTGCCCTCTAAGCGTAGCTTGAGTTGTTTGCAATAGGATATGATTGGAAAAAGAAGAGAAATTACAACAAATCTGAGAAAAGTAATCAGTTATAAACCTAAGTAGAGCTGAGAAACCAAGATAAATACTAACAAATATGTATATAGGTATGCTCAAACAAGCAACCTTAAATTCAGAGGATAGGGAACTCTAAGATATAATGGTTTGTATATAAAAATGAACACACAGAGACAGACACACACACACACACACAAACACTAGTATAATCTGAAATAATTTATGAAAGCCATTTAGTGAATATTTAATTACTCAAAAGAGTCTTTAATAGCAACAATTTAAAGAATTTTCTTCATTAATAAGAGATGCTATTTTTCACATTTTCTTATGAACACGATTTTTATTTTTATAGTAAAGAGTAAAAAGTTAGAATTTTAGTAAGGGGAAAAAACCTATCAATTCAATTCTTCAGAAAACTAGCAGATAGCCTAATGAGTATAACAAAAAAGTACAGTAAGTTCAGCTTGGTTTGAACAATGGTAAAATTAAGGAATACAAATGACTGCTTAGTCTATTTCCCTGCTGGGTAATAACATAAATTTACCTAAATATGTAGGCCACTTTTGGAGCTCAGTCTTTCAGTAATCTGCTACTGTGGTATAATATTACCCTCCATGACAATTCATATGCTGCAATCATTGCTTCTTTAAAGGAGAGTGGTATTCATGGGCAACAGAATTAACTTAAAATCTACAGGTAACAAACAATTGTGAAAAAATGCATACCTCTCTGAAATACAGAGCAAACCGTTAAAGGAGTACAAGTGGCCTGTTTTTGTAAAGATCTTTACTTCATACATACTAAGAACAATTTTAAAAATTGTACACTTAGTTATTGGAATTAGATTGCTTTTAACAAGACTATGTGTAAACATTTAAGCAAATCAGCACATTTCAATGCTTTCTCAATTTTCACCGTACAAGGATGCTTATTCATAATATAGCCTTTTTTTGTAAACTTAGCACATCAGTTCACAATAGGTTATTTAGGAAAAGCACAATGCAATGTGTTGTGTTTTAAGTGCCGTTAGGTGCATATAGTCTCCTTCTGTGCTAATTTCTAAGACAATATCATGACCTCTTTCTTGTGTGCTGAGTGTACCAGTTTACATCTGGAGTCATTTCTCAGTTTTTTGGGGGTGTTTTATTTTTCCTTCTCAGATCTAAATTAGTTCAAGTAATAGAAGTTAAGATCAAGAAGATTTTCACAACATTGTAGGTAAGAATGAGCAAAAAGGCAAAGAACACATTGATTCAAGGAGATTAGCTTTCTCCTAATCCATGCACACAAAAATTATTACACATTATGTAATTTTATGACAATTAAAAATATATACAATAAGTATAATACAAAGATAAAAGAGTTTCTCAGAAAGAAAAATAAAAGGCATCCTCCTTATGTGGAGATTAATTTTAACAGTTATTTCTTTCAAATACACTACTTATTGAATTCCATTTATAAAGATTTAAGTTTTTCTTTTTATCATGCTCTTTTTCATGACACATTTTACACTTGAAGATGTGTCTTTTGACAATGGCCCCTGAATGAGTATGCAATGTAGCTGAATAAAACAGGAGCATAAATCTAAACAGATGTACATAAGAAGATCCCAATTTGTAGCCAGTATTTTGACTATTACAGGAAATATAAGATTGGCTGCATTTAAAAATTTTACATTAATCAGGGTTAAGATAAATTATGTTATTTTACATTTCTGTTTATCATAAAGAACTACAGAAAAAAGGAGTAATAATTCCATTGTAAAGAAATATCAATTATGTATTTCTGTCCCTTATAAACACCAGATGTTATAAAGTCATATTTGCTATTTCAAAGTAGCTCCTAAAATCTCTTCCCGATCCCCTAAACTTCCTCCTAGTTCTTCTTCATATCAATGCATTGCACTAAGTTCAGCCAGTTACCCATGCCATTTACTCATAACCATTTCTCCCATCTCACTTTCCTAATTTCCTAATCCTATATTTCCAAGTCCTGCCAAATATAGCCAATAAACACAAATTGAAACTATCTCCCCTATTCCATCTGGAATTATTTCCATATTATCTTTAAAGAGGAAGACAGACTATGTGTTTGCACTTTCAAAGGATGTATTCATGCCTGTAAAAAGTACAGTCCTAGAGATTTGGTGACTCAAATCTTTTCACTAACAGGCCCGTCTTCTTTGCCTTCAAGTGAAAATATTTAAACAACAAATTGCTCTACCCAGTGTAGCATCAAGGAACATCATTGAGAAGGAAATTTCCATCATGTACAATGGGAAAGGGACCTACCCAAACAGAGACACACTATAATCCAAACACATATGTATGTGCACACCCATGACCCTGTTCAGAAATAGGACCTGTCAGCATCCCATCACCACATAAAACCTATTTGATCTGAGCTTAAGAATCTCTGTAAAATGATGCCATTGTCTGAGTATGTGACCAGTAACCCTCAGCGTGTTCTGTTTTGGCTTTCCTCAGAAGTGGAGTCTAAGAAAATTATTTTAGAATGAGCAGTTTGTTTTGGAGGTGGTTCTTAAAATCACTCACAAGAAAAGATAAGGTGAGAAAAGAAAAGAAAGGGTCAGGGAAGGAAAGGAAAAAAGTAAATTAATGGTGCTTTCTTGACCAACTTAACACAACGCGAGGCAATTAGAACTCATCTTTCTGCAGAACTCGGGAAAATGTACACATAAGTTGTGTCATTTGATGGAAGCCTAAACTATACCATTAAATATAGCTTTCATTTTGTAGAAAGTATTAGTAATATATGATTAAAAATGTCCTTGTGGGTTTTTTGGAGGAAGGTAGGTAGAGGTAAGACAGCATAGAATCATGATGATGATGATGATGATGATTTTTATTATTATTCAGAATGATTATTTCTTGTACAACCCCCAAAAGTCAATAGAATACAAGACACAAAAAGAGAGCATAATTTCTATCACCAGTTAGTAGAGGTGCTGGAAATTATGCTCTCTCAAAATTTCAAAGGAAATTTCATTACTTGTGAAATGTGTAGGGTCTTATATTCTGTATTTTACCCATTTTTACAGTTGAAATGGCACCCAGCAGTATCTTTTGTGTAGAAAACATTCACAGTAAATTTGTGGGTTTTAAGATTATAGTTTGAGTTTATCCCTCCTCTATGAAGCTGAAAAACAGTACAGAGGAGAAATTTTTAATATGTCACCGAGACTTGCAGGATAAGGCAGAACCCAGACACACAAAAAGCTGATGATGCTCCGAGCAGAGAGAACGACAAGGTGAAGAGGACGACAAGGTGAAGAGGACCTGCCAAGGCACAGTGAGAAGCAGGGAGAGGGGTCATGGGAGAACAGGATGGGTGAGGGCAAGGGACAGGATATTTGGGGTTTGAGAAAAGATTTCAAGGGTTAAGGTAGTAAGACTTGATATTGTAGACACTAAGTAAGCTTTGCAAACAAACAAAAAAAGATATCATTTACGTATTGAGCAAACAAAATATGGTGGCAGCTTTAAAAAATATAATAAAGGAAGGAGAATAGGCAGGCACAGAGAGACAGGCCAATGGCTGCAGCGTTTCATGAACAGGGACAAGGACATCAACTCGAGGAAAGGTTGCGGAAATGGAATAGGGGAGATAGTTTCAATTTGTGTTTATTGGCTATATTTAGCAGGACTTGGAAATATAGGATTAGGAAGTTAGGAAAGTGAGATGGGAGAAATGGTTATGAATAAATGGCATGAGTAACTGGCTGAACTTAGTGCAATGAATTGATATGAAGAAGAATTAGGAGGAAGTTTAGGGGATCGGGAAGATATTTTAGGAGCTACTTTGAAATAGCAAATATGAATTTATAACATCTGCTGTTTATAAGGGACAGAAATACATAATTGGTATTTCTTTACAAGAAAATGAATACGATTTCTAGGGAGATTTTTATAAAACGAAGAAGAAAATAAGGAGACTGTAGTTACAGAATCAACAACAGTTAAAGAGCCAGAATAGGAAAGTCTGAGATAAACTGGCCCATAGAAAGCAGGAGAATCGGGAGAGGTGGAGCACTGCGAAAAAAAGTGCTATTAGAAAGGGATTGGGACTTTCATAATGTTATAGAACCGGAAATCTCAAGTGACAGGGGACAGATGAATGCATTTAACCATGTATGCATCTCTCAAAACATCATGTTGTGTAAGATAAAAATATGCAATTTTTATTTGGCAAATAAAATCGATCAATCAAATCAGTCAGGATGTTCTTACAAGTCTGGATTTTATCTCATTAACTTCCCAACCAGAATTCATTTTGTCGTTGTTGTTGAGGTTCATTCCCTTTGTTGTAAAAGCAATATTATATCTGAATCATCCATTGGCTGATTTATTTCTGGCTTTAAAAGTATTTTTGGCTTTAAAAGTAATCTCCTACCTTTCTGCTGAACTTATTAGTTTTGGCCGTTGTAATCTTATTATTTCGGTCTAAGAAACTCTGCCACTTTCTGCTGGAAGATATTGTGATATGTTTCCCAGACATGTGGCTGAATTTCTCTTTCAGGAGAGAGTTAAGGGAAGAACACACTGCTATCATTTTTCGGAGATACGCATTCAGTGACCTGTTCCCCAAAGGATGGAGAAAAAAAATGAAGTTAGCTTTGGGGATCTCACACACCACCTTGATTCCACTGCAAACTCATAGGCTGCAGCTAAGATAGTCAAATTTACTTGACGTCTGAACACACAAACCACTTGTTTGCCTCCAAAAGAGAAGGCATCAGAGTATCGTAGGACTCCTTACAGATGTATGATGACTCGGTGATGTCTGAGAAGAGAGGAATTTCCTGTGCTGTTGTGTAGCCCATGAATTCTGTCATACAGAACCACTCCCTTTAAATGTCACCTTTTCCTTCGCCTCCTCCTCTGAAATCCTCTTTACTACATAGACACACTTCCTGTGTTCTCAAAGCCCACATTGCCTCTATTGGATTTGAGATTTACTCAGTTCGAAGCGTCCCGATGAAGCAATCGGAAGTGGAGACAGAGAGACTTTTCTGCCGTGCCTGTTCTGCCCATCGCATAATCATAAATATCCCACGTGTCCATGATAAGATGAGTTGGAACAATCTTTTGCCTTCAATATACTCATTTCTTTGTGCATTTTCTTCCTGCACTCAGAAAAAGTTTTCACTTTTGTTGTCATTCTTGTCATGAAAGGTCCCTGATCTAAGCTATTTAGTATTATTCATGCTTTATAGAAAGAGAATTTAAGAAATGTTACATTCCTTATTTACTATCTTTGGACTTAGCAAACACCCAGAATGGGCCAGGAATCCATGTTCTCACTATTTCTGAAACCAGTAATGAGGCCTTTCCTTTCCTTTCCCACCTATCCAAATCCTCCCATTTTTCAGGGCTCAGTTCCCAACTCTTTTCCTAGAGGACTCTGCCAGCTACTCCAGCCCACATTGTTCTTCCCCTATTAATAGTATCACTGGCAATTATAATCTTGATTTAATCATATTTCACTTTGAGTTTCTAGATTTAGCAGTTTCCTTTGTGTGCTATGTGAAAAATAAATTATACATAGGTCCATTCTAGTACTTCTCACTGAGTTATCAATATGTGGTCTCTCTGTGACTTCATTGCCAGACTGTGCCCTCTACAAGGATAGTGACAATGCATTTTTTTATTTGAATACATAATAACTAATATACTATGGTTACACAGTAACTATTTTGTGAGCAATTAAATGGATATAGTTGAACAAATATACCTAGTATACATATCTATCTATCTATCTATCTATCTATCTATCTATCTATCTATCTATCTATCTTGTCTCCCTACATGCAATAAACCCTTGCCTATAGAATTAGGCTCTTCCAGGTCAGAAACTCGAAGTTAGTTTTTTTTTTTTTTTTTTATCTCATTTACGCCTCAATATATTTTACAAGCTCAAATTTATTCAATAAATTCATGTTTAATTGATTTCTTAAATTTGGAAATAAAAAACTATGCAAAGTTTTAAATACATAAAGAGTCTTTAAGGTATTCTGCAACCTCAGCCCTTCCACTTGATATTTTGAATAAAAAGCATGCAGCAGTGGTCTTTTTCTTTAGAGACCACACTGTTGACATTGTACAGCATTTTATTCACAAACTGCATGGAATAAGATGATTTGGGCCTATAAGTAAAAGCCAAGATTCTACAATTCGAGCATTATTTTGTTTTGTTATTTTTCAACACTTTTATGAGGCAGGGGAAAAACATTGATGCTGGACACTTTTGTGGGGTTCTTCTTGCAGGGAGAATCAGCTTCATGCAATGAAAAGGATATGACATGGGGCTCAGCTATACCTGGAAAGAAATCTCAGCCCTTCCAACACTTATTTGCAATCCTGGGCAAGTAATCTCACTGAATTTCTGTTTTCTTATTTAGAAAGTACGAATAATAAGCCCTCATTTAACCACAGTATTTTGTAAAATAAACTAGAGTAGGCTGATGAAGCACATGTAGTTACAAGTGCTGGAAATCCCAGTCTCCTTGGCACTAGACGGTGGTGTACACTGCGTGGTGGATTTCCCACACACTGGGACCAGCATCCTCTACGTGCCCTGAGGGTGGATGTCGCCCCTTCTCCTCCCACCTCTCTAACTCACGTGGCTGAATGGCATACGGCAGACAAACGACCTCTCCTGACATGTCGCCTGCTTGGTTTGCTTGGGCAATGGGGAGTACCGGAGGGAAATTGAAGAGTATTGGGGAGCGAGTTTGGCATTGTGTGGCTTTAGCTTCAAATTCCGGAGGGAATTTGAAGAGTATTGGGGGGCGAGTTTGGCGTTTTGTTGCTTTAGCTTCTTCCTGTTTTCAAAGGAAGGCTTCCTCTCCCACAGGTAATGGTTTCTGTCCGTGGCCTCTGCTGAGGCAACCCCACTTTCCCTAAGAACATTCAACCCCAAGCATAGAGAAAGATGCAATGAGGTATTCAACTATCCACCGGGTTTCCCATGCTCTGTGTACAACGTTGTAGACTCTTCAAATTATTCCATTTGATGTGCCGTTTATTTCCTCTGGGAACCAGACTAAAACACCTTTATAATATGTTATAATATTATAATAATTATCTTTTAAAAAAAACAGAATGCCTTACACTGAACACTTCCTCCTTTTTCAGTAACAAACTGAGGAAAACTTTCTACTTTCCTTTGACTTGAATATTGGGATTAAGACTTTGAAGGAAGAAAGCAAAGGAATGAGAGCAAGTCCTAGATTTCTTCACTAGATTAAGTGAAGAAAACCATCAAGAGGGAGCTAGCAGTGTTAGCTCCAAACTAAACCTAAAAACTGCCAAGACAGAAGAGAAAATTGACAATTAGCTGAGAGCTCCTTTCCACAAAGCACCAATAACATCGTTAGAGTGCTATGGATTACTTAAGAGCACTAGCAGAGAAAATCTGGAGTCCTCTACAAGATTTTATAGTAAGGTGGAAAGGAAATTTAAGAATTCAATATCGCAATGGGGCATCGTCATTTTCTCTTGTGCAAGAATGCTGTAGAATGCTAGCAGAACATGACGTCTACCAGAGCAACATGGTTGATTTCTAACAAGGATCAGATAAGAGAATGATGAAAGCTAATATAGATACAAGATAAATAGAGTTACAGATAAATGTATATAATACCTCTATTTGGATATAATTATCAGATATAATTTACATATCATAAAATTTACCATTTTAAATAATACGTTTCAGTGGTTTTCAGTATATTGAAATGCAAGATCATCACCACTCTCTCATTTTGAACATTTTTATCATCCCAAAAAGAAATACCCATGACCATTAGCAGTCAATTTATTTTCTCCTCATCAACCAGATGTTGACAACCACTACCATATTTTCCAAATCTAGACATTTGCCAATTCCAAGCATTTCGTATAATAGAATCACATAATATTTTGTGGCTGGCTTCTTTCACTTAGTATAATCTGTCAAGGTTAATTCATATTGTA
This sequence comes from Homo sapiens, assembly GCF_000001405.40. NCBI lineage: Eukaryota > Metazoa > Chordata > Mammalia > Primates > Hominidae > Homo > Homo sapiens. The sequence goes on from NC_000008.11 coordinate 4,883,642, forward strand.
GCATGTATTAGTACTTTATGCTTTTTATTGCGGAATAATAACCAATTGTATGGCCATACCATATTTTGTGTATTTATTCTTTGGTTGATGGGCATTTGTTATTTTTTCACATTTTGGTTATTATCAACAATGCTGCTATGAACATTCATGTACACAAAAAATATTTTTTTGTGAGCATTTATTTTAATTTCTCTTAGATTTATAACTGGGGGTGAAATTTCTGGGTCATATGGTAACTTTATGTCTAACATTTTGAGGAACTGCCAGACTGTTTTCCAAAGAGATTGCAATATTTCACATTTCCACTAGCTGCCTACGAGCCTTCCAATTTCTTCCAATCCTCTACAATACTTGCTATTGTCTGTATTTTTGATAATAGCCTTCGTAGTGAATGTCAAATGGTGTCTCACTATGGTTGGATTTGCATTTCCCTGATGGCAAATGATATTGAACAAATTTCCAGAAGGTGATCTGTCTACTTTACTGGGATCAATGTCTATTCACACCTTTTGCTTCTTTTAAAAAATTTGGTTGCCTTTTTATTATTGAGCTGTAAGAACTTCGTGTGTGTGTGTGTGTGTACACACACACATACCTATGTTTATATATACATGTTATTTTTTCTAGTTACAAGTATCTTACCAGATAGATGATTCGCCCAATTTATCTCCCATTCTGTGGGTTATCTTTGTGTTTTCCTGATGATTTCCTTTGAGGTACAACGTTTAGAGTTTTGATGAAGTCCAATATCTATATGTATTTTTTGTTGTTGTTGCTTGTGCTTTTGCTTTTATCTGAAAACAAAATTGCTTTCTACATGCCTGTAGAGATTCATGCCTGTGTTTTCTTTGTAAGGATTTTATAATTTTAGCTCTTTCATTTAGGTCCTTTTTGAGTTAATTTTTGTATATTGAGATGGATTGGGCTTCGACTTCATCACTTTGCATTTGAATATCTAGTTGTTCTAGCATATTTGTTGAAAAGTCTATTACTTTATTTGAATTGTCTTGGCAGTCATATCAAATAACAATTGCCCAGAAAAATAAGGGTTTATTTTTGGACTCTCAGTTTCCTTCCTTGGATCAATAGGTCTATCCTTAAGTCACTGCAACTCTGTCTTATTGCGGTAGCTTTGGAATAAGATTTGGGAAGCATGAGTTCTCTAACTTTATTCCCCCTTTTCAAGACTACCTTGGGTATTTGGGGTTCTCTTGAATTTCAACATAAATTTTAGGGTCAGCTTATCAATTTTTGCAACATAGATATAGGTATTGCATTGAAGCTTCAGCTTAACTGAAGATTGCTGTAGCAATATGAAATCTCCCAACACAGAAATTCAGTATTTCATCCTATTTATTTAGGTCTTCTTTAATTCTTTTAAACAATATTTTGTTTTCAGAGTATAAATTTGAACTTCTTTGTTAAAAGTATTATTGCATTCTTTTAGAAGCTACTGTAAATGGAATGGTATTCTTAATTTTATTTGCAGAGTCTCATTTCAAGTATATAGAATTACAATTGATTTGTCTACTTTATCTGGTAACCTGCAAGCCTGCTAAATTTTATTTTTAGATATAATAGTTTTTTAATCGAATTTCTTAGCATTTTCCATGTCCAAGAGTGTACCATCAGAAATGAGAGATAGTTTTCCTTCTTTTTTTTATTATTCTGGATGCCTTGTCTTTCATTTTCTTGCCTAATATGCTTTCTAAAACCTCTAGCACAATGTTGAACAGAAGTACCAAAAAGGCACATCGATGTCTTGTTCCTGATCTTAGGGGGAAAGCGTTTAGTCTTTTAACATTAAGTATAATCTTACATGTGCAATTTTCATAAATGTCCTTTATCAAGTTGAGAAACACCACTGTAATTCTTGTTTGTTGATTTTATTATGAGGAGGTGTTGGATTTTGTCAAATGCTTTTTCTGCATTACTGAGATGATTAGGTGGCTTTTGTCCTTTATCCTGTTGATATAGTATATCACATTAATAGATTTTCAGGTGTTGAATCAACCTTTCTTTCTTCATTAAATATAAAACTATTTTTAATATTAGAGATATAATAAAGATATACTTATGTATTATAATATATAGTAAATAAAAATGAAACAATATTTTCACTTTCCTGATGGTTTCCTTTCATGTGCAAAGTTTTGAGTTCTGAGGAAATCCAATTTATATATGTATTATTTGTTGCTTGTGTTTTTGCTCTTATCTGAAAACAAAACAAAAAAATCAACACTGCTTTCTCCATGCTGACAAAGATTTATGCCTGTGTTTTCTTTGTAAGGATTTTATCATTTTAGCTCTTACATTTAGGTCTCTGATCCTTTTTATTTACTTATTTACTTATTTATTTACTTATTTGAGACAGTGTCTCCCTCTGTTGTCCAGGCTGGACTGCAGTGGTGCAATCTTGGATCACTGCAACCTCCGTCTCCCAGGTTCAGACGATCCTCCTGCCTCAGCCTCCTGAGTAGCTGAGACCACAGGCACATGCCACGACTCCCAGCTAATTTTTGTATTTTTAGTAAAGATCAGGTTTCACCATGTTGGCCAGGCTGGTCTCAAACTCCTGACCTCAAGCAAACCACTGCCTCGGCCTCTCAAAATGCTGGAATTTCTGATCCGTTTTGAGCTTCAACTTTGTCACTTTGCATTTGAATATCTAGTTGTTCCAGCACTATATATATTTTTTTATTTTATGTATATTATAAATGTATATTCCTTAATACATTATTATGATGCTGGATTTTTCTTGATAATGTTTTGTTGAGGAAATTTGCATCTATATTCATAAAAGATATTGGTCTGTGGATTTCTTTATGATGTCTTTTTAGTTTATTGGCATCAAATTTCTACTGACCTTGTAAAATGAGTTGGAAAGTGTTTCCTTCTCTTTTATTTTTTGAAAGTGTGGATATATTTACATTAGGTCTTCTTTAATTGTTTCATATAATTCAGCAGTAAAACTGTGATGCCTGGGGTTTCCATTGTGAGTAGATATTTTTATTTCCAAGTAATCACAGTACATATCACAGATTCATTCAGATTTTCTATTTCTTCTTGAGTCACTTTTGGTACTCGGTGTCTTCTTTCTAGGACTTCTAAAAAAATTTATTTTACCAGATTTGTTGGCATAAATTTATTCTTAAAATATTTTTATTTCTGTAAAATTGTTAAATGATCTCTTCTGTCATTTCAGATTTAAGTAACTTTTCTTTTTGCTTTAATTGGAAAGTCTATTTAAGACTTTTTAAAAATATTTAGTCGATGTTACATAACCAACTTTTGATTTCACTCATTTTCTGTGTTTTCTATTCTGTATTTCATCATTTTCTGCTCAACTCTTATATATTTCCTTCCTCTTGCTTGGTTTGTGTTAATGTTGATAATCCATTTCCAATGTGCTAGGTGGAAGTTTAGGATATTAATTGGAGATTTTTCTTCTTTTATATATAAACATTTACAGCTATAAATATTCATCTAAGCCCAGTTTTACCTGCATTCCATAAGATCTGATATGTTCAGTCATTATATGCCTTTACCGCAAAGTATTTTATAATTTACATTGTGATTATTTTGCCTCATGATTTATTTAGTTGTATGCTGTTTAATTTCCATACATGTAGACTTTTCCTAGTTTCTACTAGAGGCTTTTAACTCAATTACAATGTGTTAAAGAACATATTTTGTAGGATTTCAATCCGTTTAAATGTATTAAGGCTTATTTTATGACGTAAATACAGTTATCATGGACAACAGTTCATCTGCAAATGAGAACCGAGGTATATTAGATTTTTTTCACTTGGCTACTTTTACAAACGTTTTTGTTACGTGTAGATAATTCATGATGCTATTCAATTCTTCTAGTTCCTTGTTATTTTTTACATAGTTTTTTATTTGTTAACGAAAGTGGGATATTGAAGTCACCAACCATTATTTTAATCTATTTCTGCTTTTTAATTCTATTGGTTTTGCTTTATTTTCAATATTTATTAATTCTACTGGTTTTGCTTTATTTATATTTGCTTTATTTATTTATTTATTTGCTTTATTTGCTTTGTTGGTAGGTGCATATATATTTACATTTGTTATATTTTCCTGATGAGTTGACAATTTTATCATTTTTTTTAAATGTCTCACTTCGTTTCTAGTGACACTTTTTGTTTTAAAGTCTTTTTTGAGCAGTGTTCGTACAGCCACTCCAGCTTTTGCATGACTGATATTTGCATAATGCGTTAGTTTTCATTCTTTTACTTGAACATACACGTATTTTTTATCTAAAGTGAGTCTCATGTAGTCAATATATGGTTAAATCTCATTTTTAAAATCCAGTCTAACAATATAGGCTTACATGCCTCTCTCTCTTTCCCTTCCTTTTTTGACCCATATATGCCACTTCTAGGAATTTACTCTGAAGATAAACTTTCAACAATGTAAAAATACATATGTACACTCTTAATTATAAAATATTAGAAATAATCTAAATGCCATATATAAAAGAGTATATGAATAAATTGATACATTGGTACATCCATATTGTATTCATGAAGTATAATAAAAGAAAGAAAAAATAGAAAGAAAATAAAGCTATATTTAGGAATCGATAAGGAGTAATTTTCAAGATATGTTGTTAAATACACACCCTCTCCTCACATCAAGCCCCTGGAGGTAACCATTATCATTAGTTATTGATTTATTATTTTTACATTTCCTTTTTTAAAAAATGAGGAGATATATGTATATTTTCTTATTTCCCATTCTTTCATTCAAAACTGTCACACAACATATGATATACATATATATTGTTTTGCACGTATAGGTGTGTGAGCACACATACAGAAGGATAGACTGATAGATGAGAGAGAGAGAGAGAGAGAGAGAGGTATGTGTGTGTTTATGTGAGAGTCTATGGACCCCTGTACCCTAACTCTATCTGCTAAGAAGGACTACGGCAGTGACATCCCAACACCAAAAAGCAAATTGGTAAACAGATCTTCACCATAAATATCATTTGCCAACAAAAGAAACCAGGGGTCCTTGAGGTAATGACTCATTCCATGGCCGGTGCAGGGAAAGTGCAGGCCAAGCCTGGGATATGTGTTAGGGCTAAAAAGTAAGAACATTTCCAAAAATCACAGGACATATCAAAAGGTCACAAAGGCCAACTTGAAGAGACTTCCAATAGGCATCTGGGAGATTTTCAGCAACAAAGAGAGTGAAATAATAGCAAAGATTTGTAACCCATACATTCACACAAATTAATAATTAAATGAGTTAATGAATGAGGAGAAGGGAAAATCTTTACTTACAATATAATTCCAATTTCCAAGCATCAAAGAAATGATGGAAATAGAAAAATCACCATTTGGCAAACACGATGGCATTTATTGTTTCAGGCAAGAAGGATGAATATGTGGTAAGCCCAGTGAATGAACGTTTGATGAGAAACGGAATATGTGCAATGTCCGAAAGTATCACTCACAGTATTTTCATTAATCACAAAAAGAACAAGTTACTTTAAGGTGGAGAATACTGACAGACATGCCCCAACCAAGTGTCAAAGCTGGTATCAGTAGGAATGACTCTGAAAACACAAAATTAGTTCTATTATTGCCAAAAATCCATAGCCTAAATTGAATCATGAGGAAACATTAGAGAAACTCAAATTGAGGAGAATTTTATGAATCAAGTTTTCTACAAATGTGTCAACCTCTTGAAAGATAAGGAAGACTGAGAAACCACCAAATGCAGTGAGTAAGCCTGAATCCTGGCTGGGAAAAGTAGCCAAAATTTGAATAAGCTTTGTAGGTGAGGCCATTTTTTATTAACATTATTTTCCTTGCTTATATCCTTGTGATATGTTTATCATTACAGGAAGTTGTATGAAAGGTAGACAACAATTCTTGTTATTTTTAAACTGTCTATAAGTGTGAAATGTCAAAAAAATAGAAAAAAAACCATAATGACTGGCTTAAGGTTACTGGTAGCCATAAGAGACTGCAAATATAAGGTTTTATTTAAAGCTGGAGAGAAAAACAGTAAGTAAAGGTAATTAAAAGCAAAGAAAATTTACCTTAATAGGTCCTTGGCTATTTTTGACACATTATATTTTATGTATTCTTCCTAGAACACTAATAGTGAGGGCCTACTATGTTGAAACTTGATGTGCAAACCACAGCCACTAGAATTGCTGGAGTTACTTTGTATTTATTGATGATGAAACAGAGAATCAAAATGTATAGCAATTTGTCCAGTTCACAGAGCCAGTTTTGGAATGTGGTCCTCTTTACAGCCAGAATGTATGACCTTTCAACTACATCACAACTATGAAACAGAAATATATGACTTCAGGTATCTTACCTAATAATTAATATTTCCTGAGGTTCTTGAGGTGAAAGGTAAAGGTGCTAAAACTATGTTCAATCAGTTTATACGTCAGAAACTAGTTCTAAGAAAGAAAACTATTTTATGATGGCCTCTAGAAAAATCCCATTTTCCCCTTAATTTTGTTTTAAAGAAATAATTTCTAGTCATTTTAGTCAATATCTCATAAACACACTTGATCTTGGCTCAGGCTGGAAGAAGACTGAAGCAGCACGATAGAGTGGAGTGAATTTGGTGAGAAACGAGAAATGCAAATGTCTACGAAGTAAGCTGAAAAGGAGAGAGAACCTCCAGGTTCCTATGGATTAGAGTAGGAAGGCACATACAGGGGAGATGGCACTCGGGTCCTCACAGCCATGGGCATCCTGGGCAAGACAGGTGAGAGCGTGACTCCGACACCCTCCCGCAGGACAGGTGAGAACGTGACTCTGACACCCTCTTCTGCTTCAGGTCCTCACAGCCATGGGTATCCTGGGCAGGACAGGTGAGAGCGTGACTCTGACACCCTCCTCTCCTTCAGGTCCTCACAGTCATGGGCATCCTGGGCAGGACAGGTGAGAGCGTGACTCTGACACCCTCCCCTGCTTCAGGTCCTCACAGCCATGGGCATCCTGGGCAGGACAGATGAGAGCGTGTGACTCCGACACCCTCCCCTGCTTTGGTTTTGTTCTGCATGTTATTAGGTCGCTGCAAAAGTAATTGCGGTGTTTGCAATTGAAAGTCATGGAAGAAAGCGCAATCACTTTTGCACCGACCTAATACATTCCGGTTAAGGACGCTTTTGTCGACATTAAGATGTGTGTTTGCTTTAGTCACAGATCACATTGAGTGACAAGAAACATGATTTCAGCCAAACCCCTAGAGCTCACAAGGAGGGAGTGGTGCACCTGGGGAAACGCAAAGGCAGAGAATCCAAGGGAAAGTATTGGTGGTGTTTGATTTCATAGTAAGAACACATGTTTTCAATCAAGACCTCTCCAAATAAATAGATATGTGGAAATGGTTCCATTCATTACATGCCCAAATTAATAGTTAATAGAATAATGGGCCATTTTCCAGCTTTGGAACTAGCAAAGCCTTCCTGAGAGCAGAGGCTGATGCCACGGTATGAACTCTGTGTTTTGAGTCAATGAGATTTCTGAAAATACATCTGGAAGTGAAACATGTGACAGTCACATCTCACTATGAAGAGGTAAAATTCTATGTGCAAATAATTGTACCTATCTCTACATCCTTAGGTAAAACAAGAATACTCTTACAAGTGAAGACACTAAGCTAACAATGTAACCTTACTTGAAAGACTGAAGTTTATTGAAGTGAATTAGAGAGCATTTTATTCATTGAATAACTTGACCCTTGATCAGGTTGGTACATTGAGCTTTCATTCCTCTGATACATGCTACTGTGTGTGAACCTAATTTAAGTTTACAATGTTTTTCTTAATTTGAAAGGTCTGTAATTAAAAGAATTAGACAATAGTGTTTTATACTAAAAATATTTTTATAGGGAGTTTGCCTTGAAATTCCTAGCATCTTGCAATTTATTTTTCATCTCTTTTAGGAAATGTCTTAAGCACATAATCGGATGTTTTGCTGAAAGATGCTGAATCCAAATTTATTGAAATTGGAAACACTATGTATTTATCCTAAGGGCTTATATTAATGCATACAAAACCACTTTAAAGAGTTTTCAAATAAAATACTGAATTAATTATTTCCCAAAACTCCCTAGTTATTTCAGTCAAGCAATTATTTAGCAACCCATGTAGTCTAACTTAATTAAATGCATTTACATTATTTGTGTAGACTATACACCTTGTATTATCCATTGATTGTAAAAGTTGACATTCACTGTATTAGATTCTATTTTAGCAAACAAACAGATGGTAGGTTATCAACAATAAAAGAAAAAAGAAGATGGCCTTTACAGACATAAATTCCAAAAGAGGTAAGACCAAAATAGCTCTTAAACACTGTAATGAGAGCACCACTAACACCACCAGATGTAGAAATAAACATTCTGAGTCAGTAGAAGGTGCGGGAGGTAGGAAGAAATAGAACTTGCTATTTTCTTCCTCTCTGTCACAGGGAAATTTTTTTTCCCATTTGTCACCTGCAATTTGAACAAAGTAGTTTCATTAAGGCATAATTGAAACAACTTTTCAAGATTCTTTCAGGCCTTAAAATACATTGCCAATAAAATAGTGCTCTTCTAAAATGGTAATACCACCTGGGTAGCCAGGTGTCCCTTTATTTTAAAAGGAAGTCAATCACATACTCAGATGGTTGATACTTAGGTGACGAAGCCATCTCCACAGCAAGAAAAATGGTGTGAACAAGAGCAAGGGGGAGTTGAGAATCCTGAGCTTACAGCCCTGCGTCCTGTGTCCCTCTACTGCAAATAGAGATTATAAAAAAATAGGTTCATGTCTTTTAATCACGTTTTACTAACTGAAAAATATAGTAAATATTTGCAAAGACACCTGGGCTAATAAGGGTAATATTACTTGTACTAGCGTTAGGTATTGCCTAATTATATTTAAAAAATCATACAGAAATATATACAGAAAAAAGTAAAAGTAGTCTTTCCTTAGACGTGAACACTTAACTTTTGAGTGTTTTCTTCTTCAGACTTATGTTTTCTATGCATTCATATAGTCTTTTTGTACATTTACTGATATATTGCTTTTAACACTTTTGCTTTCTGATTTGCATCTCATTTTTATTCTTTGTATTATATAATAATAATAGGGTATAAATCTACCTTGTAGATGGGAACTTCTGTATGCTACTCCATAGTATAAACACACCTTAATTTATTTAACAATATTCTTACTAAGAGGCATTAGACTGTTTTCCCTTTGGCTTTATAAAGTATTAATGAAGTGAATATATTTTATATGCCACATGGTGCATTAATATGAGCATATTGTGAAAGATTTCCAAGGAATACGCTTGCACGGTGTGATACTGCATCTGTGTTTGTAATTTGCATGGTCAATGTCAAACTGACTTCCAGGAATGAGGGCTGTGTCGATTATCCCCTCCAGGGCTCGTCACTGGATATTATCTCTCTTTCTAGTTTTTGTCAGTGTGACAGGTAAACATAATACCTTTTTGTTGTTTTAATTTGCTTTTCTGTGATTTTCATCAGCTTTATTAACTCACTAAAATAGTTGTATTGGTATCTGAATTTCTTCTTTTAATTGCCTACTTAATATTTTTCCAATGTTTCTAACTGATGTTTTTCTTGAACTAGAAGCTCCTTATATATTCTGTAGAGTAATCCATTATTTTATGTTGTTTAGTATTTTTCTGTCACTTTTTTAACTTTGTTTACCATGCTTTTATTAATACAGAATTTTTTTTCTTAATGTTTATATTCACAAAGATGTAGTTAAATGTTTTTCTTTATGTCTTCAGGGTTTATTTGTTGTCTTTAAGAGCTTCCCAATTAATGTATTATAAAAATGCACATTTTAATTTACCCACTTTGAATAATAATTTTATGTTTTCCTCAAACCCAGATGACAATTCTTTTGTAAATGTGTGATGTATTTACATAAATTACATTTTCTGCAATAAGATATGCTAATTTGCCAATACATTTTATGAGAAGCCGAACTTCTTTTTCCTAACTGGTTCAAACTGTCACCTGTACCATAGTCTAAACTCACATTTACATAAAAGTCTTCTTCTGGACTACTTGCTTTGTTTCATTAATCTATGTGCTGCTTTCAGAGCCAATGTCACATTGTTCAGATTCCAATGTCTTTTTAGCATATGTTGATATCTGGAACGGTGAGTAGCATACAGTTGTTCTTACCCCTTTTTTCCCCAAAAACAGAAAAAAATCTATTTAACCAAGGGGGCGGGGCAATGTCTTTTTCGCAAAATGTTGGTTTAAATGTTGTAAAGCTTTTTGTCTTTTTTTTAGGTACAGATTTTCAAGAAGGATTTCAACATCTGTTATGTATAGATACCTTTGGATTTTCTCTTTGATTTATTTTGTTTAAGTTGTATTTTCCTAGAGAATAATGAATTTTAACTAGCTTACCAAAAGTCTTCATATAGGCCTGCGCACTGTATCCCATACATTTGAAAAATTATCTCTATTTTAACAGTGAACAGTTTTTATGTTATTAGCTCTTTCTATATGTCTTATCAGATATGCCCAAACTTCATCCATTTATTTCAGAATTTGAAGAATAAGCTTTGATCTTTTACCTATCAAGTCTTTTGTTTTGCTTTTTCAAATTTATTGAATTTATATACATTTTTCATTTTTTATTTAATTTTCTACTAATTCACTGCTTGTAGATTCTTAAAAACACTTAGATAATTTACTTTCATATTCTCTCTTTCACTCTTTCTCTGCCCATTTCAGGTTATGTATTTTGCTTTAAGAGCTGCTTGGGAGGCTGAGGCAGGAGAATCACTTGAACCCGGGAGGCAGAGGTTGCAGTGAGCCGAGATCGCACCATCGCATTCCAGCCTGGGGACAACAGCGAGAACTCATCTCAAAAAAGAAAAAAAAAAAAAAAAGCTACATTGGCAATATTGTGAATGAAATAATATTCTATCCACCCATTATCATTTATCTGCAAATATCTGCAAAGGGATTTTAATGTGTTTCATTCTTGATTTAAGTCAAGTTATCTGAAAGACTGTGTGTGTGTGTGTGTGTGTGTGTCTGAGGAGGACCGAGGGGGACCAAGTGTGTTTGTGTGCACATGTATAAAATCTTCTGACTTTTAATTTTATTTCCTCATGAACGGACAACTTGATCTGTGCCAATTTGCTTTTGAATTTTTATTAAGGTTCTCTGTGTGACTTTATATGTTATTGTTCATGAATCCTTGCCAAAAATGCACATTTTCAAGGAAGGACACTTTGAAACATAAGGCCAGGAATCAAATGGCTGAGGTTCAGGGCTCAGCTTCCACTTTTCTGATCTACTGCCTTCGGCAAGTAACTTCACTTCTCTTGACCTGAGTTTTTTCATTGATAAGAATATCTGTTTTGTTTCTGTACATTAAACATGAGTAAATATGTTTCACTCTCAGGAACTGGTTATTAAAGAGTTTTCACTCAAAAATACATTTGATTTACATTCGCTTCTGTACAAAAAATAATAACTATTTGTAGAAGGTTCAATAATAACAAAAAACTAAGCTAACCATGTACAACTAAGACAACCTGAATCACGTTCAGAGATGAACAATTTCTGACTCAGGTGTGTTACGATTATGAAAATGGTAAGTCCGTATGACTTAGTTGTCTTTGTTTCTCTCCAATATTTCAGTTTCTGGAGTAATGTAAGTGTAACAGCATGTTTAGCTCAGTATGATGCACCAAACACATCCCTCTTTTTCCCATGCAAAGCCTGAGTAAATTTCATTTTCTGTGATATCAACATTGTTATTCTGCTTTATCATTGGCATTTGTCTAGTACATGTTTTCTTTCTTAATTCACAGTCTTTTTATACAAATTTTAAAAGTCAAGGAGTGTTTTTACTGATAAAGAAATTTTGCTGATTCAAAGGTATTGATTATAGTTATTCGGGGGCTTCTTTTTATGATATGACTTTCCTACTCTGATGTTGTGGTTGGTCTGATGAGGCTCCTTTTTCCAAATTGCTATCCACCTTCACCTTCCCTGATTTTTTTTTTTCTCCTCAGTCTTCAAACCTACAAAGCCTCTATTTTTCTAGTAATTAACCAAAGATATTAAACTTTACCAAAGTAAATTTAAAATCAATAAGCTGTACAGCTGCTCCTAAATCCCCTAAAATATTGAGAACTTTACCACGATATTATTTATCTTCCTTTCACTTGCCTTTTGTTACTTCCCCTGTTGTAAATACGTTGAATTTTGGTTCAGAATTGTTACCAATTATTTTTTTGACATCATCCCTCCATTTTCAGACCTAATTTTCAATGTTTAAATTCTTGCCATCCTCCCCTAACCATTTTCTGATTGAGATATTTGTAATGATTCTACAATTCTTTGTAGTTCAATGTGTGGTTTGCACTATTTAGAGGCCTTCCTCTGTCTGAAAATTTTTTTCTGCCTTCTGAAATCAATGCTACTTTTAGTAGCATAAATATTTTTTTAAACATTTGAAAGATTGTTTCCTTTGTCTTTCATATTCAGCATGGCTTTTGTGAAGTGTCTTGTCAGTCTGGTTCTTTCAACTTTGCAGGTCACCTTGATCCAGTCCGTCTCTATATGCTTTTCCCTAGCATATCGCTAATTATGGGTCTCTTTACATTCATGCTTTTCAATATTTAATTCACACTTTAATCTGCATATTTGAGCTTAACACAGGGAGCATTGCTTTTGCATTTTCAAAATTATTTACTCGCTTCGATTATTTACTGATGTTTTCTCAATTCTTTTGTTATGGAGCATCTACCAGGAAAATGTTGAAACTCTCAAACTGAAACTCTGTCTCTAAAATTTTTATCTTATGTTGTCACTCTCTCTGCTCTTTGCTTCATGTCTTCAGATACTTCCTTCACCTAACC